>NC_000004.12:113769865-113921381 GCF_000001405.40 Homo sapiens | reverse complement strand
TTAACTAAGGAATCTTAACTAAGTCTTGTACTAACACACATCCCACCCCAAAGTCTTAACAGATCTGTTCTTTGTAATCTTCCTTCTCTTACTGAAATGAGTAATACTCAGCACAGTTTATGGAAGTTGCAAAGCACATATGTCAGCAAGATTCTTTTCTCTCAAGGCTTGTAATCAATTTTTTATGGGCCATACTTTTATTTAAGTTTGAAGCTTATAATTTTTAGCTATTTATTTCGGTTTCACAGTTATGATTATTTAAAGTGTGTGTGTGTGTGTGTGTGTGTGTGTGTGTGTGTATTTCAGGGAATTATAAACAATATACTGCACTCTCTCTTTGTTGGATGAATCTAAATCAACTCCATGCAGCACCTATACAGTCCAGCTATCTCATGTCATGTAGCAAGCCCAGCTTTAATGTTCCAGTCTGTTATTATTAGCGCCATTGCTCTTTATTTAATGTATTCTAATGCTTGTCAGTGGTTCAGATTAAATTGTTCGAGAATATGAATGTGACATTTCTGGTTTCCTGGGCCTCATTGATACTTAAAACTTCTAAAACTTCATTTTTACTCTAAAATAGGATGATGTATATAAAATGCTTGCCAAACTGACTTTCTCATAGTTGACACTCAAAGTAGACAATGCTCAGAACTCTTGTCCCCTCATGGACTTTAATAATAACTACGTGCCACACTTCTGTCAGCCTCCAAAGAGACATGCAGCCTTCTGAATTCTTTAAGATTTGTCTTTTTAAACAAAGGTTTCATTTTAGGAGAATTTAGTCTATATTTCAGCTTTTAGTGGCTAAAAAAAGTCATTGACTTAGAGAATGTTAGAACTGAAACCCCCTTGAAGCTCCCTAATTTCAGACTCCTCATTTAATAGAAGAAATTTTGTTAGTGTTTTGAAGAGTTTTCTTAATATTGACTGGTATGTTTCTTTAGGGTATCACCAATAGTTATTTGGACTTGTTTCTGCAAACATATTATTGTCCACAGTGTATAGGGATGTTGCAAAGTGATCTGGATGATTTTTACTTTTACCGTTGTGTTTTATGAATGTGTGGTTTAAGTCTGCTCATCTGTACCTATTACCTACTGCTGCTTTTCTATAGAATATTTTATATTTGAACACTCATGCAAACATGAATACTCTGTGGAAACGTTTTTATCCTCACCAAAATCATCTTGTGTAAGAGTTAGAGAACAATTACAATCTTTGGCAAAACAGTGTTTTTAATTTTTTTAACTCTCAGAAACTATAACTGTCAGCTCTAAGGTCCTACTCCAACAAATACATGAGGGAATATTAATCTGTCCCCTATTTTATTAAAATGTGAAGGGATAGACAGCATGGTATACAATACACAAGAAGGAAGTGCTTTATTTCTATAGAAGCAGCTTGTTTCTAGCTCCTGCAAAAAAAAAAATCTTTAATAAAAATTGACCATACTCACTTTACAAGCAGGGTTCCTGCTAGGTACAAAACTGCTTCAACACCCAACATTTCTTAGCCTTTTTCAGGCTGCCCTCCTGCATTTACGCATCTTTCAGGTTCCTCTCCTTGTCATGCTGAGTCATGAGCCTCTTCTTTCTCCACAAGATTCACAGTGCTTTTCTAAGGCATTACTAATTTTTCTAAAAACATGGGGTTATGTTGCAGAGCAACAAGCTTCTGCCATCTCTCTGGCTCCCCACCTCACACACTGCCCCTTCCCAAAGCCCACACCATCACACATGTCCCTTCTACCTCATATGGATACAGAAATCTAGGTTTAGAAAGGATAAGCGAAGGAGCCAAATGATGGAACATGACCTGAAAGCCATGTGGTCTGACTACATTCGGGGCTCCTTTGGTTACTTTCACAATATCAACAATAACAGTTAGTTGAGCACGTTATAATTTATATAGATATTTCATTTACATTAACACATGTAATCTTTTAAAACAACCCTGTGAGGTAAGTATTATTGAGCCACTTTACAGAAGCAGATGTGAATACATAGAGAAGTGACTTACCTAAGTCTGTGGTGTAACCTTGCTGTCACCTTGGTTCGGCCTTTTCTTTGAGATTTCACTATATAAGACTGGTTTCGATTTCTAGGAGTCCAGTAGTCTTTCAGGGATTTCAGTTTATTATTAGGATTTCACAGCCTCGTGGTCACTTCTTTCTGCAACTGAGCCCTTGGTCTCAGCTGAATCTCTTCTTCTAGTCTAGGACTACACATCTCTCAGCTTCAGTGCAATCTAGATAGGAAAAAATGGTATTTTTATATTTATTTATTTTTAACTTTTTGTAAAAACCAAAGCCAAATACTCTAGAAGTTGAAGAGAGCAGTATGGAAAAATTTCACCACTGACATGAATTATGCCAGGATCAGCCCAATATTTTGGCATTAAAGGTAATTTAAAGAAAAAATGTTCTGGGCATGGCGACATGCGCGCTTAGTATCAGCTACTCAGGAGGCTGAGGTGAGAGGATCACTTAAGCCTGGGAGGTTGGGGCTGCATTGAACTGTGATAACGCCACTGCACTCCAGCCTGGGTGACAGAATGAGACCCTGTCTCAAAATAATAATAATAATAATTTTTTCATCTTACTACAGCATTAGCAATGGATTCAGTATTGGAATTTAAAATCCAAATCTCATATTCTTTTTACTACAAAACACTGTATCATAAAATCATTTGTTATTTCGGTTTTATAATGTGAGATTTTTGAAATTTAAAGAAAGAATGTTTGGCATAAATTGGCATTGATTAATATATCTATTCAGAAAATTTTAACCATAAAATAATTTAAAGAAATTTTAGATGTTAGCAGTTCTCAAACTGTTTGGCATCAGGATCCGTTTGTATTCTTACAAATCACTAAAGACCCCAAACAGCTTTTGCTTATCTGAGTTACATCTATTGATTTTTACCATAATAGAAACTAAAACTGAGAATTTTCAAAAATATTTATTTACTCATTCAAAAGTAATAACAAGCCTTTTACACATAACATAAATATTTTATGAATATAAATATATTCTACAAAATAAAAGATGAGTACTGAGAAAAGTAGCATTATTTGTCATTTTTTCAAATCTCTTTAATGTCTGCTCTAATAGAAGATAGCTGGATTTCTTGTTGCTAGTTATTGTTTCTGTTGAAGTGTGTGAGGACAATTCAGCCTCGTGGATATATGTAGCTGGAAAAGGAAGATGTGCCTGAGTCATGTTTTCTGATAATTGTGATATTCTTCTTTGTTACTGCATCAAGAGTTGACCAAAAGTGGTAGTTTATTAGAGATTCTTATTACTCATTGGTTAGGTAAGAGCAGACAATAACCAATAGGTTGGGAAATGTAAGGCTGATAAAATTCTAACAACCATATTGAACTCCGTAATTTCTTAAATATTGTGTTTCTATGTGCTAGGCATTATGTTGCGTACCTCACATTTATAAGCTCATTTAATCTTCATGGTAACTCAGTGAGAAAAGTGTTATTATTAATCCCATTTCATGCAAATTAGGAAACTGAGGCATAGAAATTCTTTGAAATGGATTTGCCATTTTGATTTTCAGCTATATTGTTTTACAGGATAACAATTCAAAGTAAAATAAACCTAATATAAAGGATGCATAATAGAACTTCAGAATTATTGGTAAGTATTCATATTGAAGAATCATATTGAAGATTCATAAGGATCATATTGAAGAGTCTAATAATATGCTGGTAAATTTCAAAGGGAAATAGTGTAATTCTCCTTTAGTAGGTCAAATCACTTATTATTCTCTTAATATTCTTCTAACTATATTGTGATGAATGATTTATTTTTAGCTTGTGTTCTAATATAATTTTTCTGAATGTGACATATAAGAATTGCATTAATATGGCTTCTGAATATAATTTTTAGCTAATCCTTGCACTTTTACATGCATTTTCACTTATATTATTATAAAATATCCTTAAATTAACTTTCAGAATCTGTGTCTTGTATCTTGGTAAAGAGACAGCTAAAACAACATTTTGCTTTCCAGGATTGCAAAAGCTCAAGAATATGGAGGTGACAGTTTTGGATGTTATAACAGAAATTTTGGAAGGAGGTGGCAGGCAAGGCATACCATGAGGACACATGATTCCTCTCATTGGTACAGGAAAGGGGGCAACAGGCACTAAGAGAAGCAACACTGTAAGAAACAACTTTGACTGCAGTGAATTTTAATGGTACTTTCTGGATGCTTCCCAGAATACAATCAGCTGAGAAACCTGTGATCAAAAATGGGTATGCTTTCCCAGGTTAATAGATACAGTATTTGTATAATATTTTGGAAACTTACCTGTTATGATATGAGTAAAGAATAAGAAAACAATTGGATGGAATATCCCAGCTGAGATGTATCCGTCAGTTGGTTTTTGATTATAAGTAATTACAACACAGCATACCATGAATATTCCTTTAGATTCAGCACCTATCCTCCTTGTTACAAAATTTTCTGTTCCACATATTTATTGTTTTGTAAAAATAAAGTTAATTGGCAAGGTAACATGTGTCTCCCCATAGAGCACTGTGAATTATTTCTTTGCATTCCTCCATAGACATTTAAAGAACTGACACATTAGTCAAATAAAAGGAAAAACAGAAAGCAACTCCATGGGTTGAACTTCAGTTTGGCAATTGGAAATTCCAATCTGACTACCAGGAAAAAGAAAGAGAGTGGGCAAGATAGTATTTCATGAGACCCAAGCAATGGTATCATGTTTTGCTTTGGTTTCGTTCTGATTTCACCACTTGCACACAATAGAGCAGAAGGGGGAGGAAGACATGGAGTTGAAGAGATGATGTACCAGAGGACAAAAAAAAGAGAGAACGTGTAGTAACAATTAGTTATAACTAGCATTTTTATAAAATTTTACAATTTGCAATTTGTTTAAAATATTTTATTTCACTTTATTCTATACCTCACCACCCAAAAAAAGAAAAAAATCCTGTGGCATTGGTGTGCTGCTATCATTAATATCGCCTTTATAAATGAAAAGACTGAGGTTCAGGTTGAGCGGCATGCTCAAGGTTACACAGCCTATAGAGGCAGAATTCAAATCCAGGCATTCTGATTTCTGATATTGTGGGTTCTCTCAATAGAAAAGGTAGGCCGGATTGTTTCCACAATACATGCTGGAGAAATTCCTATGATGTCAAGTCATTAGGCAGAATGTCCAGAGATAAAGTAAGCCCTCTACCAACCTCTCTACCCACCAGATTTATAACAAATATAAAATATTCATTTTCTCACATACCACCCAGGAAACACCCTGTGAGACATTGGGCTATGGATTCAACCCTGACCATAAGGGGCAAACTTTTCGCAGAAAATAAGAGAGTTGCTAGAGAGCATGTGAGATTAAAACTGCGAGCTTTCCAGTTAGTGTCCTTTCCAGTCTATAAGCAGTGAACCCTCACTGGAGGGAAACAGTCTGCCTAGGCAGTGATCACTTTTCACTTTACTTGCAATTTTGGGATGTCTTTTCTGGGAACAAAAATATGATCTCTATTGTTGTAGAAAGAGTGCAGACCATCTGCTTTTCATATTCAGTGATGACAGAAATGAGGCAAGTATTTTACCTGCAGCAGATGAAGGGTAACTGTGATACAGATGTTCTGATCCAGAGGTAGAGTGGGGAGAATTTCATCCTGGAGGTATTTCAAGGCAACACATTTTATTTATTAGAGATCTTCAGGGTATATTTATTTTTTCTTTTTATTTCTGGTTTTGAAAATTGTTATCCCTACAGTATATTTCAGACAAAAACTCTGGGTATTTTTCTACATAAAGGAGAAAGTTAAATGAAAATAATTATATAAAATTAAGTCAGCTATAACCATGCTACTGTACATGTAGTAGAGGAGGAAAGATGATCTATAATAAATATCAGGGCAGAGGGTCCATTTTAATTTGCTAATTTTCTTACTCTCTAAATGAGAGTAGCTTTAAATAAGCTACTTATAAAGTTCACTTCAGAATATAAAATGTTAATTCCATATCTTGATCTGCCAGGACTAATTGCTTAATAATACCGCCATTAATAATAAATCCTAAATAAACTATTCAAAATAGCTCAATATCTGTATTAGAGACAGAGCCAATAACCCTTACCATTGGAATTTAGAAAAGACACTAATAAAAGGGCAAAGTCACAGATAGATTACAAGTTCAGAGATTTATATTTTAGGGAAAGATATCTAATACCTGTTAATTGGGCCTATATACTGTTTTAATGATACCTGCAGCCTACATTGATAGTATCAATCAGGTATCACTGTAGCCTACAATGATACCTAGATGCCTGTAGCCTTGGGAGTCTGGTCATACCAAATTAATGCAGTGTTTACTCAATAATTCTCTTTATTTTTAGCTGAAACTGCTTTATAACACAGAATTATAAATGCCCTTTATAAATAATGAACGGACAGTGTAGGAAACTCAACTGTTTTGAAGAATAAGCAAATATATTCTCTTCTCAGCTTTCTCTAAATCATAAAAATTATTCTCTACTGTGGATATATAGTATACCACAATGTTTCTTACAGAGTTATTTCTCATAAACTCTCACTATTCTTTATGTTTCTCCGCAGTACAGTACCTGGAATAATGTGGGTACTTAATAGACTTGTGATAATTTTTTCTGGAGACTGCCTCATTTTCTCTACTAAGTTGTCTTGGATTTCAGTTTGTTGTCACATGGCTTGCAGCTAAGACACTGATATGTCCATATGAATTTGACATGAAATACTTTCATCTATGTGTGGCTAATTGCAGGTGCAAAGACACTCAGTTATTTGACAGATCTTTCCTAACCATGGCTAAAAGAAGGCAATTCTGCTCAAGAATGGGAGAACATTACCATTTTTTTTGTTGGGCTGTTTTCTGGAAAAACCACTTGGTGAATATAAATATGAAACTTTTGATAATTTTTCTTTCTTGAAAGTCAAAGGTACAAAGAAAATGTTAAACTTCTTAAATATGGCAGTCCTGTCCATATTAGGATAACTAAATATTAATGGACCAATTCATGTAAAGCAGAGTGAGAGATCATGTTTTCAAAATATTGAAAGGGTTTTAGGCCGGGTGTGGTGGCTCACACATGTAATCCCAGCACTTTGGGAGGCTGAAGCGGGTGGATTATGAGGTCAGGAGTTCGAGACCAGCCTGGCCAACATAGTGAAACCCGGTCTGTAATAAAAATACAAAAATTAGCTGGGCGTGGTGGTGGGTGCCTGTAATCCCAGCTACTCGGGAGGCTGAGGCAGGAAAATCACTTGAACCCAGGAGGCAGAGGTTGCAGTGAGCTGAGACCGCACTATTGCACTCCAGCCTGGGTGACACAGTGAGACTCCATCTCAAAAAATAAATAAATAAAAATTTAAAAATGAAAGGATTTTAAATTCTCTATATCTTACGTTGAGGATTCTAACTAATATTACGATGATATTACTTAAGGATATCTTCCTTAACATTTCCTGTCTATAGGGCAAAGTTGGTAGTATCAGGAATAGTTTAGTATTTAAGCTACTCCCTAGTCTACATATCTAAGTGCATTTTTTGCTTGGAATAGAGGAGATGAAAACTTGTACATTTGTTTAAAAATAATTTTACATTATTCTGTAGTCATATTGAAAATAGCAAGAAAAATACAAATATTATTTTGGCAGTGTGGGTACACTTGTTTTATGGAGTGTATGTATCCTTGAAATAGTCTCTATAAATTAGATAATTTTAAAATGTACCCCTAGAGTTCCCTCTTACATTTTATTCTGTAAGTAATCTTATAAATGAGAGATTCATTAATTACATAAGTGAATATTCATGTCAGTAGGTATTTGGTAGTTTGTAACTTATATATTAAATCTTATTTTTTTGAAGTATGGGTCTTCAAATAAATAATTCCAAAAAAGAGAAAAGAACATGAGATAATAAGAGTCAGGGAAGACTATCTAGTAGGAAAGAAACTTACTTTTGGATGAAAACTATTTCCAGAAAAGAATCACTTAGCGTGTTATTTGTAGCTGTGTTTCCAAAGAGACCAGGAAAATTGTAATCAATGTAGAAAAAGCTTTGGTGTCCTGAAGGTTCACCGACAGTGGATGAGTAAGGCAATTGCAAGGACAAATAGCAGAGACTAGGAAAGATTATCCAAAGGCAGAAATTTTAAAAGTTACTTGACAAGTTTCCTTATCTGCTTGTGTAGTGAAAGGAGACATTTTCTCTGGATTTGAGGGGTAATTACAGATTTATTTAGCTGATTCCATCCCCTTTTGTCTAGTCCGAAGGTAATCTCCTGAGTAGATGTCCCTGCTAGGCAGAACAGGAGATGAGTGAGTGTGTCCATTCATTTGACATTTATATTTAATCCTTTTTATTTCAAATTAATTAGTTGCCTTGATACAATTAGTCTGAGTAGAATAAGCTAGTTTTTTTGAAACCTAATCATATACATTTTATTTACATGTAAATTTACATAACAAGTTGAAAGCTTCTCCTCCCACAATTATTATGTTCCCAGAAATAATCATGTTCAACAGATTGTCATATATGTATACATTTTTTCTTTATCTTTCTCTCTTTATGCACACACACACACACACACACACACACACATTCTCATTTATTCATTCAACAATTGATGTGCTGTTATGAGCCACGTATTGTTTCAGGTGATATATATATACTAGTGAACAAAGTTCCTGCCCTCATGGAACCTATACATTTTTTTGTAAAAATGTAATAATACAATAGATATTCTGCCATAGCCAGATGGTCTTTTACTTAATAATACATCATAAACATTTTTCTACATCAGCACTTATAGTCCCACCATATTCTTTTTTTTTCCATCTATATATCTTGAAATAGTGTATGCTTACCATCTATACGTTTTCACTTTCCATTCATGTCTCAATCCACTATAATCTGGTTTCTTCCCACACCATTCTACTAAAGAATAGCTTATAAGGTCTACATGCTTATTGCCAAATCCAGTTGATGCTGTGCAATTCTCACTTTTCCTGGCTTCTCTATAGTAAGTGATGCAGTTGACTCTAAAACTCTTCTCCACTACTCTAGCTCACAGGGTAGCTGATTTACCTCAGACTCTTTTAATGCTGCTTCTTGCTTTTCTTCTAAATGATGGTATATCCTGGGCTCCATCTATGGCCTTCTCCATTTTGTCTTTAGATGACGACATGAGTTCCCATGAATTCGCCTACTGCCTAAAAGCTAATGAGTCTCAAATCTCTATTTCATAATTAAATTAACTGCATTTTTATGGTAACATTGCATTCCACTATTTGTCATTAAGAAATACCTATCATCTTAACTTTAATGCAGGTGAAAAACCTTATGGTGATCTAATTTCGGTAGCACACCACTCTTTTCTTTTAAATACATTTTATTGTATATATTTAAGGTATACAGCATGATATAATGGGCTAGCCATAAGTACTAAATTAGTTACTATGGTGAAGCAAATTAACACACTCATCATCTCACATAGTTACCCTTTTGTGCATGCATGTGTCAGGAGCAGCTAAAATGTATTCGTCAAATATTTATTTTACTTTATCCTATACATTTCCAAGTGGATATCTGACAGGTGCCTCTAGCTAAATGCAGGGCAGGAATCATTGTCTTCCTATTTATTCCTATCCCTTTTCTGGATTTCTTAACTCAATGCAAAGATTTCCTTACACCCGGCCACCCAGACCAGACACTTTGGACTCATCTTTAACATTTCCTTCTCCCACACTTCCCACATATAGTCTGTAACCCTATCAAATGTCTCTCTTTATAATATCTAATCTTCCCTTTACTGCATCCTCACTGTAACAAATCTCAGTCTTGGATATCATCCTCTATCTCTTAGATTAGGCCACTTCTCCCTGCCTAGGTCTTGTTCCACTCCAATCCATTCTTCACACTACAACCAGAGTTGATTTTTCCAACGCAAAGCTTCGATTGTGTCATTCTCTTTTCAAAAGTATTCTGTGACTTCCTGTGACCTTCACATTAAGTAAGAAAACCTTAGTACAGCTCTATCCTCTAATACAGCACCCTGTCATTGAGCACCTACTTACCTCTATAGACTAGTCAAGATATGTCTGAATCTCTCCCCTTATATTCTAATATTCTAAATTGTTGATCTACAGAGACCCAAATTCTCTCTCACTTTTTGCATTCAAACATTCTGCTTCTCTCACTGAAACACTTTGTCTTCCCTTCAACTCTTCACCTGGATGGCTCCTCCTGCTGCAAAAATCATCTCAGATTCACCTTCCCTTGTGAATGCTCTTTTGTCCAAGTCGTTTCAGCTGCTTGCACTACCTGCTTTCATTCCACACTCACCCAGATACTCCTGAATGCACTGAAACTCAAATGAAACATGGCCCCTTCTGAGAGGTGTCCTGACTCTACTATGAGCACTTATAAAATGCTGTGGTTCTCTACTCTAACACTTAGTCCTGTCATAATAATCCTCTAATGGCTTGTCTGTTTCTCCAATTATACTGAGTTCCTTGAGAGCAGAGACCATCTTATTCACCTGTTGTAATCCCCAAAGCTAGCACAGTGTAGGAGAAGGAGTGTTAAACAAGCAATTAATTCACTTATTCATGAGATTAAACAACTAGGCATATATTTGTTGCCACAGCCCGCCCCACTTTCACCCCTTTCCAGAAGATATAATTAACTGAAAGATAAAATTAAGGCCCATAAATAGAATTTATTTATAGACAAGAGAGTCTTTTGGAAGGCAGTCATAAGCAAACACCTTTCAGAATATGGAAAATTAGTTATATTCTTCCTACATAAATATCCAAGTGATATTTGATTTGTAAACTACAGTCTCTTGCATTTATTTCCTTCCCTTCAAAATATGAATTTCTACTCCACTATTGGCCTATTTTTTACTCGCTAACCATTCTGGACTTTAAAGTCTGCATAAAAGTATTAGTATTCATATTTTATCCCACTTACAAGAGTACATTAAATATGTAATTAGGTTAAAACAATAACATCTTAGACAATATTTTCAGACAAAGAAGAATTCATAGACTATAGTATCCAGCACCCAGTAATACAAATTAATACAAAAAATTATATACCTTCACATATTCTAATGCCAAGCTGAAAGGTCTACTTAGCATTTTTCTTTTAAGTTGGCAGTAAAGTGAGAATGATGGTGATTGCTTTTAACAGATTTGGCAACAACTCTAGGTTTACTATTATTCATGTGGAATTTTCTTCACATGGTAGCCAGACTGTGACAAAAAAACTTACTAAATTTCAAAATTATTTTATTTTTTAGCCAAGGTAATACAAGCATTTGGAATATATTATATGAAAAATCTATTTTTAAACTAATTTCATATTATACAAATAAATGTTAAATATATAATCGATGTTTGTGGAATCTTCCCTATGAAATATCTGTAAATGATATTATAAACTTGGTACTGTGAAGCTGTTCTGATGTTAAATGGAGACGCTTTACTGACACATTGAGCAGTAGTCTTTGACTCATGGATTCTTATAGTTAGGAAGAAGCTTAGAGGTGTAGTACTCTGTTCTCATGCTGCTCTAAGGATATACCTGAGGCTGGGTACTTTATAAAGAAAAGAGGTTTAATTGACTCACAGTTTCACAAGGCTGGGGAGGCCTGAGGAAACTTAACAAACATGGCAGAAGGGAAAGCAAACACATCCTTCTTCACATGGCGGTAGGAGAGAGAAATGAGAGCCAACCGAAAGGGGAAGCACCTTATGAAATCATGGGATCTCATGAGAACTTACTATCACGAGAATAGCATGAGGAAAACTGCCCCCATGATTCAATTACCTCTCACCAGGTCCCTCTCACGACATGTGGGGATTATGGGAACTACAGTTCAGATGAGATTTGGGTGGGGGCACAGCCAAACCATATTAGAGGTCATCTAGCACTTCGTTTCCAATTCAGGAATCCCTTTTACAAAATCCTTGGCAAATGCTTATCTAGCCTGTTTACTATTTTTTTGTTTGTTTATTTTCTTTTTTAGAATGTTATTTTCCACAATGGGTTGAAATCAGCCTCTTTATAATATTGACCATTAGTCCTAATTCTATGCTTTGAAATAAAACAGAGAGGAGTTGAACTATCCACCACTCTCCAGGTTATAAAAGCAACAAATCTAGAAATCATTCCTAATTCTTTTTTTTTCCACTCCTTCTGTACTTCTCTCACTGATTTAGTCCTATCAGTTCTAAATCTAAATATACATTTCATCCATCTACCTCTTTCCATTTTTACTGCCACTAGATGGTAGTCCAAGCCACCATCATCTTTGACCTAGACAAATCTAAACAATCTCTAAACAATCTCTTCTAAACAATTAGAAGAGATTGTTTAGAAAAATTCTTTTCTAAACAATCTGTGTTTCAATTCTCATCTTTCTAAAATCCACTTTCTATACCAGTGGTCTCCAAATTGGAATACATACACCAAAGGGTAATGCAAGATGATTCATTGGGATGCAAAAAGAAATAAAAGAAATTCTACTTACATTTATTTTTATCTCATCCCCTTTAATTTCTATTCTGTGTAAGTTTTATAATGTTCCTAAATTAATACAGTATGCATGAGTGTAATTTATAAATAAGTAAACGTGCATATATTAGGGGAACATGCTTAAATATTGAATACTATTTTTCAGATGTGTTCTAATTAACATAATGGGATTATTACTCGTCAGAATTTGCACACTGCCTTTATATAGATTAATTACAACTATAGCTCTCATTTGTCTCTTGCTTTTTATTAAATTTGTAGTCTGATATATTCAACTTCTCAGATCCATTTATGTAGTCTTATATAGCTGACGTGTAAAAAATGGATTTTTAAATAAAATATCTTTTATTTATCCCAGTTAGATTTTCTTACATCTTGTTTTAAATTTTGAGACAATCTTATAGAAAAATTGCAAGTGCAGCACAAATAGCATTTTTCCTGAATTAAGAGTTAAGAGCCAACGTGATGTCCCATCACCCTCAATACTTTAGTATTTCCTACCAACAAGAGTATTCTCCTGTGTTAGCCACAAAACCATCAAAATCAGGAAGCATTGTTATTCCATTTTAATCCTGAGATCCCATTTAAGTTTTGCCAGTTCTCTAAATACGTTCTTTATTGAAACTATTCCAATTCAAAACCACATATTGCATTTAATTGTCATGTCTCCTTAGTCTCTTTCTTTTAATTCCTTCCAGTTTTTATTTTAGGATCTAGGGGTTTACGTGCAGTTTTGTTACATGGATAAATTGCATGTCACGGAGGTTTGGTGTACAGATATATCGTCACCCAGGTAGTGAGCATACTACCCGATGGGTAGTTTTTCAAGCCTCACCCTTCTCCCACCCTCCATCCTGAAGTGGGTCCTGGTGTCTTTTGTTCCCTTCTTTGTGTTCATGTGCAATCAAAGTTTAGCACTCACTTATAAGTGAGAACATGTGGTATTTGGTTTTCTGTTTCTGTGTTAATTCACTTAGGATAATGGCCTCCAGCTGCATCCATATTACTGCAAAGGACATGATTTTGTTCTTTTTTATGGCTGTATAGTATTCTGTGGGTTATACGTACCACATTTTCTTTATCCAATCTCCTATTTATGGGGATTCAGGTTGATTCCAGGTCTTGCTGTTTTGAATAGTGCTGTGAGGACTTATTTTCTGAGTTGTTTTTCTTTCTTTTCTTTACTTTTTTTCAACTAAATGAAACACTCCTACCTGCCCCACAGACTTGTGGAGGCCAGAGAAGAGCATATCAGTAAAAAAAATTTTCATATTATATTCACTTTCATTAAAGTGTAAGATTATCATTCTTACCCCCAACTAAAGTGCTAACATACAGTTGATTTTTCATTATTTTATTGAAAAAGAATAATAGGCAGCCCTTTCAAATGCTAAATCATTCCTAAGCTATTTACCTAATGCTGATCCTTTTTAAAAAAAGACAATGAAGCTAACTTGGCAGGACTTTTCTTTTTTGACTTTGTCCCATTTGTTATTTTTGAAATGCTTACAAATCACATACTTTAAAAAAATCATTCTCAAATTTTTCTGGGATCAACATAAGTCTCACTATCCGGTTTACAAATCCTTCCTTTCTTTAATTGGAAAGTTAGAACAGATTTGCTTCTCAAGACTTCTGGCATCTTTCCTCTGCTCCTTGATTTTTCAAAAAGTACTGATATTAACTCTTAAAAAGAACAGAGAGTGCATCGGACTTTGCCACTGTTGATCAAGAATCAGTTTCACAGCCTGGTGGGGCAGGTTGAGGGTGCTGGGGAGAAAACCACAACTTCTCTACATCTCTATTTTCTCATCTATAAAATGAACTTAAAAAATCTGACTTCTCACTGTTGCAGTGAAACTTAAATGCAATAATGCATATAAAAAATCTATAAATTAAAAAGCGTTATGCAAATGTTAGTGACACCGATTCAGCATTCTGGGATAATTGTTAAAGCTATCGCTGAATAAATATACCTTCCTTACTAGACTCTGCTCCCTTCCAATGCTTGCAGCAACCCAATATGTATTATTATCCCTATTTTACAGATGAGGAAACTGAGGATCAGAGGGATTAAGTACTTCCCAAAACCATACAGGTAATAAGCAGTGGAGCAAATTCAAACCCAGGTCTGTTTGATTCCAAAACCTACACCCTTAACCCACACCCCAAATTACCTGAAACTTCCTCCTATTCCACCATAGAGGCTGGAACTCATTTAAGCAGGAGCTGCTCTGAAAACCTCTTCCCTGTTATAAGCTGCTGTCAAACTTTTATGTTGCTGGTTTTAAATTTTCCAATTTAAAAACCATTCTACTTTCTAGAGAAGACAGAAACCTCATAGTTGATTAGTAGCTCTGAACTCCTATTTATCTGCAGACGCTACACCATTTTCTGAAAGCAGCAAACCTCTTCTTACTTTCTTTTTTTTCTGCAAACGTTTCCTGTATTTTATGTTTTTCATAAGCCTCTTTTCCTGTTGCCTTTGCCAATAGGTGAGAAAATGACCAATTTAGTTAGAAATGCTTAACTGGTTTACCATTTGATGAATTAAATAGACATTCCAGTCAAATCAATTTTCTGCATAATTATTTTGTTAATAACTGATCCCCATAAATGATTCCCAAAATTTTTACCCGTATAGATGTTTCCCTTTTTAATTTCCTCCAAGTTTCCATTAATGGGTATTTACTAATTTGTCATGTACTTGTGTGAAAAATTAGTTTTTTTTCTAATTTTAGAAAACATTCACTTGTGTCTAAAACATTCACTTGTTAAAAAATTAGTTTTTTCACAATTGAATGTTTTGGATCCTGGACTGGACCAAAAATTATCAAGAACAGGCCAGGTGCAGTGGCAGTACTTTGGGAGGCCAGGGCAGGTGAATCACCTGAGGTCAGAAGTTCGAAATCAGCCTGGCCAACACAGTGAAACGCTATCTCTACTAAAAATACAAAAATTAGCCAGGCTTGGTGGTATGCACCTGTAATTCCAGCTACTCGGGTGGCTGAGGCAGGAGAATCATTTGAACCCGGGAGGCAGAGGTTGCAGTGGGCCAAGATCGTGCCACTGCACTCCAGCCTGGGTGATAGAGCGAGACTGTCTAAAAAAAAAAAAAAAAAAAAAAAAAAAATTATCAAGAACAGTAACAATGCCTTCTAAACTTGGTACTTATGATGTTTATGAAAAGATTATTTCTTTAGGAATTTCTTACATTTTAAATTACCACAATCATGACTATTGCAAAACTGACAGCTAAATGATCAGTGGAGTAAACAGGGTCCATGTGAATGCTGCTTTGCAATAGTGATCAGATATCACTCCAGTGCCCACAGAAACATCAGTGTGTGTTGCAATTAACACTTCAAAAAGCTCATAGTTTCATCATGCTATCATTAAAACATTAAAAATAAATTGAACTATTCATCCAAGGCATGTATAACATGTTGGCCTTTCAGGTTAAATCACTGTGAAAAAAGCTGCTTTTGACCTCAATATTTTTTTTGTAATTTGATTCCAAGATTATTTACATATTTACCCTAACAATTTTCTGCAACCTTAATTTTATTTTCATTTTTATATTTTCTATTTTAAAAGTGTTTTTCAACTTATAACTATAGAATCAATTTTTAAATGTCAGAAACTAACTAGTATATCATGGCCCAAGTGAAAATTCATACACTTGTGTAATAATAACCCCTTCTTGGAAAACGCCCTTGGCAAATACCACTGGAAAGAGAAAAATGCAAGAAATTAACATTCACTTAATTTTTAACATATTAGAAAGTGTTATGCTTTCTTAGACTATTTTATAAGTGATTATAGTTTTTTAAAAAGAGACACTGTGGGAAACATACATAAGGACTTATTACCTGTTGTTTTTGGAAAAATATAATTTGTAGCACTAGCTAAAACATTTATTCTAAAATGATTTTTAAACAATAATGTATTGTGTAGTCAGAAACCTCTATCTCGTTTCAGAGATCTAACAGATTAGAGATTAAGGGCCAGGCACTGTGGCTCACGCCTGCAATCCCAGCACTTTGGGAGGCCGAGGTGGGCGGATCACGAGGTCAGGAGATCGAGACCATCCTGGCTGCTACGGTGAAACCCCGTCTCTAATTTAAAAAAATACAAAAAAATTATCTGGGCGTGGTGGCAGGCGCCTGTAGTCCCAGCTACTCCGGAGGGTGAGGCAGGAGAATGGCGTGAACCCGGGAGGCGGAGCTTGCAGTGAGCCTAGATCACACCACTGCGCTCCAGCCTGGGCGACAGAGCGAGACTCCGTCTCAAAAAAAAGAATGAACTATTGTTTTACAATCAAACAGGAGATTTTTCTCTAATTTTTCCTTGTATTTTTAGTACTTAAGAGTTAGCTTGAAATAAATGATCTCAGGAAACTAGGAGCTAATGATTTAGAAGGCCCCTAGGTTAAAAGCAATAATAATAATAACACTCTGATTCCGTATATCTTTTCTCTTACCTTGTCAGTTTTCAGTCATGTAATTAAGAGATTAAAGTGTATTCAAATTAATTCCACTATAAGAACTTTAAAAGACTTTGAGGCTGGGCACAGTGGCTTCGCACCTGTAATCGCAGCACTTTGGGAGGCCAAGGCAGGTAGATCACTTGAGGTCAGGAGTTCGAGACTAGCCTGGCCAACATGGTGAAACCCTGTCTCTACTAAAAATACAAAAAAAAAAAAAATCTGGGCATGTTGGTGCATGCCTGTAATCCCAGCTACTGGGGAGGCTGAGGCAGGAGAATCGCTTGAACCTGGGAGGTGAAAGTTGCAGTGAGCCGAGATCACGCCACTGCACTCCACCCTGGGTGACGACTAAGACTCCGTCTCAAAAAGACTTTCGAGATAAGTGGCAAAATTTTACTTTCAAAAGTACTGGCTTAGATTGAAATGCATTTCAAATGTTAAATAGGAAGTTAATTAGAGTAAGACTTGTGAGTAAAGAGCAGAAATGCTGAATTGGTCATTTATCATTGGGGTCAATTATAATTTAACAATGATGCCCATAGAAACATTTTTTAATTTAGGGATCATTGTTTTATGTAGAATATCTCTTTTATCCTGCCCTGATAACAATTTTTTTCTCTTTTCTTAAGGTATCAGATACACACCGGACTTCAACATTCTATCATAAGACCTACCCAACCCAACTGTTTACCTCTGGACAATGCCACCCTACCTCAGAAACTGAAGGAGGTTGGATATTCAACGCATATGGTCGGAAAATGGCACTTGGGTTTTTACAGAAAAGAATGCATGCCCACCAGAAGAGGATTTGATACCTTTTTTGGTTCCCTTTTGGGAAGTGGGGATTACTATACACACTACAAATGTGACAGTCCTGGGATGTGTGGCTATGACTTGTATGAAAACGACAATGCTGCCTGGGACTATGACAATGGCATATACTCCACACAGATGTACACTCAGAGAGTACAGCAAATCTTAGCTTCCCATAACCCCACAAAGCCTATATTTTTATATATTGCCTATCAAGCTGTTCATTCACCACTGCAAGCTCCTGGCAGGTATTTCGAACACTACCGATCCATTATCAACATAAACAGGAGGAGATATGCTGCCATGCTTTCCTGCTTAGATGAAGCAATCAACAACGTGACATTGGCTCTAAAGACTTATGGTTTCTATAACAACAGCATTATCATTTACTCTTCAGATAATGGTGGCCAGCCTACGGCAGGAGGGAGTAACTGGCCTCTCAGAGGTAGCAAAGGAACATATTGGGAAGGAGGGATCCGGGCTGTAGGCTTTGTGCATAGCCCACTTCTGAAAAACAAGGGAACAGTGTGTAAGGAACTTGTGCACATCACTGACTGGTACCCCACTCTCATTTCACTGGCTGAAGGACAGATTGATGAGGACATTCAACTAGATGGCTATGATATCTGGGAGACCATAAGTGAGGGTCTTCGCTCACCCCGAGTAGATATTTTGCATAACATTGACCCCATATACACCAAGGCAAAAAATGGCTCCTGGGCAGCAGGCTATGGGATCTGGAACACTGCAATCCAGTCAGCCATCAGAGTGCAGCACTGGAAATTGCTTACAGGAAATCCTGGCTACAGCGACTGGGTCCCCCCTCAGTCTTTCAGCAACCTGGGACCGAACCGGTGGCACAATGAACGGATCACCTTGTCAACTGGCAAAAGTGTATGGCTTTTCAACATCACAGCCGACCCATATGAGAGGGTGGACCTATCTAACAGGTATCCAGGAATCGTGAAGAAGCTCCTACGGAGGCTCTCACAGTTCAACAAAACTGCAGTGCCGGTCAGGTATCCCCCCAAAGACCCCAGAAGTAACCCTAGGCTCAATGGAGGGGTCTGGGGACCATGGTATAAAGAGGAAACCAAGAAAAAGAAGCCAAGCAAAAATCAGGCTGAGAAAAAGCAAAAGAAAAGCAAAAAAAAGAAGAAGAAACAGCAGAAAGCAGTCTCAGGTTCAACTTGCCATTCAGGTGTTACTTGTGGATAAGCACAAATATTTCCTGTTTGGTTAAACTTTAATCAGTTCTTATCTTTCATCTGTTTCCTAGGTAAACCAGCAAATTTGGCTCGATAATATCGCTGGCCTAAGCGTCAGGCTTGTTTTCATGCTGTGCCACTCCAGAGACTTCTGCCACCTGGCCGCCACACTGAAAACTGTCCTGCTCAGTGCCAAGGTGCTACTCTTGCAAGCCACACTTAGAGAGAGTGGAGATGTTTATTTCTCTTGCTCCTTTAGAAAACGTGGTGAGTCCTGAGTTCCACTGCTGTGCTTCAGTCAACTGACCAAACACTGCTTTGAATTATAGGAGGAGAACAATAACCTACCATCCGCAAGCATGCTAATTTGATGGAAGTTACAGGGTATACCATCCGCAAGCATGCTAATTTGATGGAAGTTACAGGGTAGCATGATTAAAACTACCTTTGATAAATTACAGTCAAAGATTGTGTCACCTCAAAGGCCTTGAAGAATATATTTTCTTGGTGAATTTTTGTATGTCTGTCATATGACACTTGGGTTTTTTAATTAATTCTATTTTATATATATATATATGTTTCTTTTCCTGTGAAAAGCTGTTTTTCTCACATGTGAACAGCTTGCACCTCATTTTACCATGCGTGAGGGAATGGCAAATAAGAATGTTTGAGCACACTGCCCACAATGAATGTAACTATTTTCTAAACACTTTACTAGAAGAACATTTCAGTATAAAAAACCTAATTTATTTTTACAGAAAAATATTTTGTTGTTTTTATAAAAAGTTATGCAAATGACTTTATTTTATTTTTATTTCCTGCATACCATTAGAATAATTTTATTTCATTTCTTCAAATTACCAAGCACTGTAATACTATAAATTAATGTAATACTGTGTGAATTCAGACTATAAAAAACATCATTCAGAAAACTTTATAATCGTCATTGTTCAACCAAGATTTTGAATGTAATAAGATGAATATATTCCTTACAAATTACTTGGAAATTCAATGTTTGTGCAGAGTTGAGACAACTTTATTGTTTCTATCATAAACTATTTATGTATCTTAATTATTAAAATGATTTACTTTATGGCACTAGAAAATTTACTGTGGCTTTTCTGATCTAACTTCTAGCTAAAATTGTATCATTGGTCCTAAAAAATAAAAATCTTTACTAATAGGCAATTGAAGGAATGGTTTGCTAACAACCACAGTAATATAATATGATTTTACAGATAGATGCTTCCCCTTGGCTATGACATGGAGAAAGATTTTCCCATAATAATAACTAACATTTATATTAGGTTGGTGCAAAACTAGTTGCGGTTTTTCCCATTAAAAGTAATAAACTTACTCTTATACAAAGTGGACACTGTGGGGAGATACAGAGAAATGGAAGATACGGATCCTGCCTGGAGTAGGTAACCTTGCTTGGAAACCCCACATGCAAACGTCATGAGGAGAATTAAAGGAGTATTATCAGTAATGAAGTTTATCATGGGTCATCAATGAGCATAGATTGGTGTGGATCCTGTAGACCCTGGTGTTTTCTTTGAAGTGCCCTCTCCTAATGCAGAGGCCTTGAAGCTTACAGTATACACTTGAAAAGTCACAGATAGCTAGAATTATGATCTTTGAAGTTATAACTGTGATCTGAAAATGTGTGTGGTGGTATGACAGCATACCATTAAATACATTTACATCACAGCTCAAAGGACTGTGATATAATCCATTTATATCACAACTCAAAGGACTGTGATATAATCCATTTATATCACAGCTCACAGTTTCTGAAAATGTATAAAAGAATCTATAATCTAGTACTGAAATTACTAAATTGGGTAAGATGATTTAAATGATTTTAATTTTAACATTTTATTTCTAGAATATATGGCTCCATTTTATTTTATAGTGTAAAGTTGTATTTCCTAAAGTTTGTGTTTTGTCGACAGTATCTTTTAAATGAGTCTTAAAAATAAAGGCATATTGTTCATGTTTTTCTTTCCTGGTGGCACATAAATGACATGTCTTAAAATAGATGGCATCTTATACATTTTTTAAAAATAGACATCTTTACACTAAAAAAGAGTTCTGAAGAAAGTAAGTTTGGGAGATGCTGGGTTAAAGAACGTCAAAGGAGTCACTTTAATGCAGGTTTTTCTTTTAGAGGAGTTTTTAAAATCTTAGCTTGTATTGTAACCCTGACAGAAGGAAAATGTTATACAGTATTTCATAATTTCACCACAAAACTGCTGTCTGTGGCACAATGCACAGGACTAGGGTTCTGAGGAACTATACTGTTATTGGAAACATAGTGTAAACATAGAATCTTCTAGAAGTTCCTAGAAAGACAAAAAAAGAAGCAAAGAGGCAAATTAGGATTAAGAAATACCAGTAGGCATCACCTATTGTGATGTAATTCTAAGTTCTCTATAAATGATTATAATCTTCTCAGTGAAAATAATTTAGCCCACAGTGTTCTACTGGAAATGGCTTCATGGATGTTGATCACTGTTTTAGAGAGTACCTGCCACCTGCCCAGGGCTCTAGGCAGGATGTGGTTTACAAGAAGTCTCAGTGTCTTGCCCTCAAGAAATTAAAATATAATCTAATAGTCATGTATAAGTCATGAACAAAAATGTTTCTAAAAATGCTGGCAGCAAATCACTAGGGATTTCAAGATGGCCAGGAAGGAAAACACTGTGTCCTTGAGTTTTGTGCCCTAATCACTGATGCCATGTTAATATGAGGAATTCATTCTCAGGTGTTAGCTTCCTAAACTGTGATCTTCAGGATGTGTTTCTAGGCTGCCTGTGGTTCTTTCAAGTGTCAACTGCACCTCTTTTAAACCTCTGATCTTTCTTAGGGTTTCAAAAGAAACTCTCATTAGCTTTGTCAGAAAATAATTTTTGAATATGGCTATGTTTCTGGGTTGAGAAGGGATATAAAAACTTTTTTCCAATGAAAACATCAACAACAAAAATATTTGTAGTACCTTTCAGCCAGTGAAAACATCTACCTCAGGTCTGTCAAATTTCAAGTCTAACTAAAGAACTTGTTTCATCTGTTTTTACATACTCTTTCTTCCTTTTTTCTAAAAATTGAATGGATATTTTTGTTTTCTTGACCAGACCCCTTTTAAAATTCTTAAGAACAGAGGAACACTGTCATTGATAGTTGAATAATAATACTTTTTTGTACTTTCAACATTCCTCTCTGAGAATATACCATATTAGTGCGCACATCTCCACATTATTTCTTTATATTACTGAACAGTATTTTATTATATAGATATGCCATTTTTTATCTTTTCACATGTTAATGGACACTTGGGTTGTTTCCAGGTTTAAGCTAATATAACTAAAAATGCTATGTATTTTCAAGTGCAGGTGTTTCTTGATTTTCTAAGGCACATGAATTTTGCATCAGGATCAGCTTCCTAAGCATTTTATTCATACCATTTTTGAACATACAAATTGTGAATTTGTCAGTAGCAGAATGTGTGATGTTGGCAGGAAAAAATTTCCTTGCCAAAAGCAGCACAATTCCTCTATGGTAAACTAATAGCTAAATTGTTTCTTCATACAATGACTTCATAGAATTCATTCATTCATTCAACAAATACTTGCTGAATCTTACTCTCTCAGGCAATGTTCTAGGATCTTGGGATATATCAGTGTATGAAATGAATAAAAATTCTTACCCTTGGGCAGGTTATCTTCTAGCTGAGTGAAGCAGACAATAAATAATAAACATAACTAATTATAACATTATATACCATATAAAGTAGTGTGAAAAAAGAGTAGATCAGGATAAGGGGAGGATTCATTCTACACCAAGTTTATCCATCCATTCTTTCAGCATTTGTTAAGTGCCCCATGTAATGGTGTGCATCGGGATGTGATGGCAAGTGACATCACGCAGAGTCCTTGCCTTCGGGTAGTGCCCCTACGTTCAGGTGGTAGTGCACATTCTCCTAGAAGATGCAGCCATGAACCCAATAATCAAACACTTCATCTCCACCATCCTCCCACCATGGCTACCCCACTTTCCTGCTTGATCTTTCTCATTAGCATTTAATATCCTTCAGAGTTTACTCACAAGTTTTCCTTGTTGTCTGTTTCATTCCCCTAGAATATAAACTTCTTAAGAAAAGTGACTTCTGTAAGTTCTGTTTACATATGCATGGCCAGTATATAAAATGATGTCCTACTTATACTTAGCACTCAATGTTTTTGAGTGAATACATAAGATAATCACATTTATCCATATGTTCAACCACATTTGCCTAAGTTTCCACTTTCTATTTCTGGTACAGGGATTTCATTGTTGAAAAATAGAACTAATCATCCTTAATACCTTTAACAGCAATGATATGAAATGCAGAAATTTCTAACACTATAAAAAACTAACTCTAATAATGTATAGTTATAGCAACAGGGTGTTACAGCAAAAGTGAAGCAAAAATTACACAAAATTGAGAGCAAATTTTATCTATCATCTTTATTACATAACAGGATAGAACATGATTATTCTAACACTACTTGGAATATTACAGAATACATTAGCTTAAATGAGTTCCCAGAAAAAAATAGATGAGGGCTTAAATTGTCAATAATTTTTTGTACCAAATCGTGAAAGGAAAAAAATATAATTAGAAAATAAACCTCTATGTCTTCATAGAATTATAAAGCCAAATGGAATATACCTCACATCCTTGGGTATTTTATTACAAACCTCTCCAATTTGGCAGAGCAGAAATTCTGCTTTTTTTAAAGATATATTTTTCTTAAATATTTTACTAGTCATAGCATCTCTATGAATTTGGTTGATTCATTGGTTAAACATGGTATTATTTAAAGCACAGAACCTGAATGTTGCCTTTGGGGATTAGGTAGATTTGAACATATTTATCTAACTTTCAATTTCATATCTATGATTTGAAATTGCCTTATGCTCAAATTTACTGCAATCCTATAACATTTTTTGTCAGATGTTTTATGCAATATTAGATAAAATCAATCCCAATAATTGAAAAACAAACAAGAGAATAACAAAGTCTTATTAGAAATGTCTACCTATCCACTCTTTGTAGAAATTCTTCAGCCAATAATAAGTAGAGAGCATCTTATTGCATAATCAAAGAAAAGTAAAATTTGTCTTTCAGTATAAAAATCCAAAAATAATTTTTAATATCACTTCGGTCATATTAATCTCTCTAGAAACAATGCTTTAAGAATTAAAGTTCTTCAACTTTGAGAATTATGAACAGGGAATACCTTCAGCTGACCTTCTAAATCCTAAACAACTGTGAGAAAAAAACCTTTTTATAACCAAGGTTTTTAAAAAACTCTTGATTTAATTTAGTATCTGAAACCATATTTTTTATGTCATCATCACCAGAATTTCCAGAGGCTCCCTTTGGGCAAATAGCGTTAAGTCCTCAGTCAGAGAGTTATTCTGTCTCTAAGGCAAATCCCACTAAAACTTATCTACCTGTAGCTATTCTTAATTAAATAATCCCCTCTAGCACCTATGAGGTGGGGAATTACAAGCATAAAAAGTCCTGCAATTATTTCTACTATACAGTCAGACATAGTAGCAACAAAACAATACAGTGTTTTACTAAACTTTTTTTTTTCTTTTCTCCAAGTTTTGCTCTAAGTCCTAACAGTTAACATAGTGTTTCAGAGATTAAGGTCACAGCTGCTGAGGAATCCTGCTCTCTCCCAGCTGGGAGCAATGGCGGCTGCAGTGGCAGTGGAGACTAGGTGAGGCGGGTGGGTGGAGAGGTTTTTCCCCTTACCTTTTTATTTGGCCCCTTGCCTCTGCACTTCTCAGCATCCTGGCTGTGCTAGGGCTATTTCTTTCTGAACTCATATGCAACCATAACTCCGCATTTTACTTTCTTGGCACCCTTCTCCATACCTGAGTCCCACATCCGTTTCTGCCACAGAACTAGGCACATTATACCTATGTCCAACAGAGGTATCAGCAAGTGAATTCCTCCCTTCCAAAGTTCTCCCAGCATAAAGCGATGAGTGTGTAGAGCTATCTCCGCCTTCTGGTGACGAGAAGGCCTGAGCCCCACCCCAAAACCTTCAAGGAGCTGAGATCAGAGTGGAAGTGAGCGATCAGGAAGCCAACAAAGTGTTCCCACCTGAGTAAGTGAGATACCGCTCCCTTCAGGTCCAAGCAGTTTAGCAGCTGCAATGTCCAAAGCCTGCTTCAGCTTTGGGAACTAATTAATCCTTTCTCTTTCTGCCTAGAAGAGAGAGCAGTGAACAAGGTAACTTCTATTCGGGACCTATCCAAAGCCTACCTTGGGTATTTCTTCTCTTACATAGAAGAGTGAACAACATAGATTTCTCACATTCTCTACCCACCCACCCAAAGCCCAACGTTGAGAATTCCTAGATCCTTTCTTCTCTTGCTAGGAAGAGAGGGCAAAAACTAAAAGCCTTCTCTAAAACCTAAAACCATTTGGGCTGCTTGTTCCAACCTACCCCCAGCCTTCGACCAACAATTGTCTTCCAATCTTTTCCATCTGTCTGCTGTTGGCTCTTGCTGTCTTCTTTCAAATCCTGTTAGCCTGGGGGCCATCCTCTATGTCTTTCAGAAAACCACGTTTCAAACAGGATCTCATGCTTGTCAGTAAACTTGGTAAGTTTTTATGATCTGTATTTATTCCTTGTTATCCTGAATGCAAGCATGAAGTTTCTGGAACTCAGAGTCATCATTGTTCATTACAGCAATAACTGCAGCAGTGTCGCACAGGTGATGCAAGGAGAGCCACATGTTTAGGACTACATGTACAGGGGTCGCATCATAGGAGAGGAAACCTAAAATTATGAATCTGGAAATATATATATATAAAATGTCCTCCCTCTCCTCCCTTCCTAAGAAACATTTGCTCCCTGGTCTTTTACAATCCTTTGGACTGTAAATGAATGTTCTGAAGAAAAGAGAGGGGAAAGTACCCCAAAATGCAAGCTGTTGGCTCTGACAGAAGTTTTATTACTCTTTAAGAACAGATAATTCCCTATCTAACACCCTTTAACATCCAAGCTTGTCCTTTAACCCAGGTGCCAGTAACATTTGTCAGAAAGTCCTAACTATGCAGAAACATGAGAATATTCACTTTCTGACATAGATCAGTGGTTGCAGATGGAAGTTGGAGCATGTACTGACAGAAAACAGGAATGAGGGAAACTTCAGGGTGAAGGAGGTACCTTAAAACTGAATCGTAGGGATGATTGCATAACTGCATAATGTACTAAAAAAATCCCTGAACTGTATAGTTACAATGGGCAACTGTATGACATGTAAATTATTCCTCAGAAAAGCTGCTAAATGCAAGCCACTGGCTAGAATAATTATTCACAGTAAATATAGCAAAAAGTCTCCAGAATATATAATGAACTCCTACAAATCAATAAGAGAAAATAATGGAAAGGATCCTCACAATAGGTGATACACAAATGCACAATAAATATATGAAAATGTGCTCAAAATCATTAGGCATTAGAGAAATGTAAATTAAAATCGTAATGCTATGCCACTACATTTATATCAGAAAGGCTAAAATGAAAAAGATAATACTAAGTGTTGGTAAGTATGTGGAACAACTGAGTGGGAGTGTTGGTGAGAGTGTAAACTAATATAACCACACCAGAAAACGTTTTGGCTGTATCAATGAAAGTTTAACATTTATATCCCTATAACCCAGAAATTTCATTCCTAGGAATATACCCTGGAGAAATGCTTGTATAGATATTCACCAAAAGTTATGTGAAGGTATAATTCATAGAAGCACTATTTATAGTATCCTAACACTGAAAAGCACCCTCAATTATTCATCAGCAAGAGAATGAGTAAATAAATTGTGATATTCTCATATAATGGAGTGTTATTCTATTGAGGGGAACGTGTTGAGGGGTTACTAGAAGGGGCACAAGTGGGGCTTCTGGGGTTCTGCTAATGTTTTTATCTCCGTGCTGCTTGTGGGTATATGTTCAGTTTTCTAAAATTCATTAAGCTATATAGCTAGAGTTTATGTACTTCCCTGTGTTTGTTATACTTCTCACCACTACCGGAGTGTATATATATATATATATATATATATATATATATATATATATACACACACACACACATATATATATATACACATATATATATACGTCTATATATATACATATATATACACATATATATATACATATATATACACATATATATACATATATATACACATATATATATACATATATATATACATATATGACATAGCAATTCCACTCCCAGATATTTGCCCAAATCCAGGAATAAAACTAATACATGCCTAGCAGAGTGTCTTGCACACAATTAACATGAAACACAGAACAAAAAGGCCTAATTTACCCACTCTATGTTTCTTTTTCTTTTTTTTTTTAAATCATATTAACCAACATGCAGAAATTCCTGGGACCTAAATATCCAACCCCAATACATGTTTAGATGACTACCAGCAGGGGTCATGCTAACAGGTTTGTTTCAACAGGTTGAAGCTGAATGTAATTAATTTTATAATTTTTAATAGTTCAAATCCAGTTTTTTAAAATTAAATTATGAAACAAAGGTGATGTGAATAATCATATTGAATGGTAAGTGCAATAAAATCTGCATATGCATTGAATTCAGAATTGAGTCATGTCCAATATTACAGTCTAACCTCAATTCCTATCAAATAAATTAAAAAATAGTTGGTCCCATATTTATGGCTTTCTGATTATAGGGTCTTCTATGGAGGTAACATTATTCCCCTTGAATTCTTCTCTATTGTTCTTATCTTTGCAGTGACTATCCTTGTCTGTCTCTGCGTTGCTCCACTCCACCCCATCCCTATTTCCTCTGCCTATTCACCTCTCCCTGCTTCTCTGGCTCTTTTCTCTTTGTCATCTTTATTTTCCCTCCTCCCTCGTTCAGTAATTATAATCTCTTTAATATTTTTAAAAACCAAACTCATATGTTGAAATTAATAAATTAGAGTCTCTGTACCTATCATTAAACAAATCTTTGGGCAAACTTTTATACTAGGATGCATATTTCCACATAGCCACTTATATTCCAACCTAATCTAAGAGTGAAAATGACTGTTGACCAGAAATTAATACTTTTACCAATAGTCAAAAATAGTGATCATATTTCAACAATAGATAACTTTATTTACTATTGCCAGAAAGATTCATAATTATCTTTGTGTGTATATATTTAATTATAATCACACTTGATTGGATTACAGTTTCCAAGAACTAATTATGGCTGTTAGTGGCTATTAAATAAGAAAATGTGTTTGCAGCTCAAACATTTGTCTTGTTATGTTTCCTAGTGGAAAAAGGCATATACTGACAGGATGCCAATTTGTTTTAAGTGAATTCATGTTACTACCCTGCACAATAAAATAATATACAAGGCTGTGCTTTGTGAATTATGAGTTATATTAGTGAATATCATTTTCTGATTGCCTGCATTTTTCCTATTTTATATACATGATCATTTTTGTAAGTAAAATTAATATAAAATTTAAATACTTGTGAATAAAGAGATGTAGCACTGTTTTCTATCAAACTACACTAATCCTTTCAAGCAAAAAGTAGTTTATTAAATCATATTCCACTAATTTTAAGGTGTTGATGCATTTGTCATATTACCTAATTAACACTGTGTTATGGGAGAATTTTTGTAGCATATATTTTGAATTATTATTATTATTTTTTTTTTTTTTTTTTTGAGACGGAGTCTCGCTCTGTCGCCCAGGCCGGACTGCGGACTGCAGTGGCGCAATCTCGGCTCACTGCAAGCTCCGCTTCCCGGGTTCACGCCATTCTCCTGCCTCAGCCTCCCGAGTAGCTGGGACTACAGGCGCCCGCCACCGTGCCCGGCTAATTTTTTGTATTTTTAGTAGAGACGGGGTTTCACCTTGTTAGCCAGGATGGTCTCGATCTCCTGACCTCATGATCCACCCGCCTCGGCCTCCCAAAGTGCTGGGATTACAGGCGTGAGCCACCGCGCCCGGCCTTGAATTATTTTTAATTGTCTTAAGATAACTGACTTTGAAGAAATAATAGCTATTTGTTATCTAACTTCACTTGTAAATTTTGCCTACTCATTCTTAATAAAAACAAAGTAAAAATTTTAATGAACTTCAGGTTATTAATATACTATATTTCTCCTTTTCCCTCTAATCACCTTTTGACCATTATTTCTACTATAAATTATTCTGTTTTCTTTACAATTCATAAATAAATCTTGCTTTTCATCAAGATTTATTTGTTGTGATCAGTTCATTATGAAACAGTGAACACTGTGAAAAATGTTCTAATTTCCTTATAACTTGTTATTAATGCTAATTTACTCCACGATTTATTTAACCTTTAAAGCATCTTTCTCTTTTGACATTTATCTTTAAAATCCCTTTGTAAGCAGCTGTTTACTGAGTTGAAGCATTTTATTAGCTTATTTGCATGCTGTACATGCTCATGAAATACTGCCAAATAAATCCTTGAAAATTTACCTGGTAGTTGCTGTCTTTTCTTTTACACTAAAAAGCATTGTCTATACATTTCTGAAACCTGACTTCTAAAGTCTGTCATTTCAATTAACTATTCTCAAATGATCTAACGTGCCTTTATCCTAGAAAATGTACTGTTAGTAGTGTTCCTATTATTATTTATTTTTTCTTTAGAGAACTTTGAAGTATCCTTCAAGATACGATTCTACTATAGCTCTTATAAATAATAGCAATAGAGTCAAATTTGTCCTATTTTAGTCATTCACCTAGCTCTCACCTCACTTTCACAGCATGAGTTGTCTTTGAAATTCTCTAGTAGCAGGGATTAAGCCAGTATTACAGAATGAACTCCATATAATTGTGTGTGAAAAGAGAGAAAATGCCAATTACATAAAAACATCAATAACTTCATTTCATTTATTTTGCTCCCTTTCTCCAGATCAAACAGGCAATCTTGATATATAAGAGAAACCAAAATAGGAAGCTAGAGGCTTCATGTTGCTGGTGTGTATCCTCTACAGAGAAAAACAACAATAACAAAACACCAGTGTTTTATTAGTCAGACCAGGTTTTTCAGGGTTTTTTTAAGATGAGAAAAATGACAGCTTTGCAGGAAAGCTGTGGTGCTCTTAGACCAGCCATTTGTACAGAGGCTTAGTTTTCTACAAAAAGAGAGAGTTGGACTAAATCAAAACAAGGCAGCAAAAGGCAAAATTGATTTTTCACAAATCATAATGTTTAAAAATAAATGTCACTGATCCCCTCGAGCTTGATGCATCCCATCTGAGTCCCACCTGAGACTAACCTCATCCTTTGGCTGTAGGTGGTTAACAGAGCAACAAAGAATAAAAAGCCTGAAATCAATCAAATGATGAGTTCAACCTTACTTCTCTCCTCTCAATACCTCACACTTATTCTCCAGCCTGGAGAGACTCAAAGCCAGGGAAGTTGCTGTACCTAAGTGTTTATAAAAATATAAAATGATAAGTACCTAAGTGCAAATTATGATAGACTATTATTGCTAATAATAGAAATATATTATTCTTATTTACCATAGTTAATAAAAGTACAATTGCTAACAGACATATTTAAACATATCATGTTAAACACATTACTGTATAAGAGGCATTAGCTTAAAGTCATTAAAGCTCATGAGTAGATTAAAATGTTTTTAAAACTGCTATAGGTGACTAATTAAAGTTACTGGGAGTCAAATTTCAGCTCAGAAAGAACTTTCCAGAGAAAGTGCAGCTTTCGGTGGAATGCGGTGTCCTCTGAAGACAATGTGTTTCCTCATACTGAAAGAAACCTAATAGAAGTAGAATCATTGTATGCCTGGAAGATATCCCGTCTCCACATGCTAATAAACTAGAGAAGCATCCAGAGCATAGACTGCTGTGAGACCTTGAGTCAAAAGCCGCCTTACACAAGCAACCAGAAAAAAATGAGCTCCCACTGTTTCCAGTTGGAAACGCAGAAATCACCCGTCTTCTATGTCGATCTCGCTGGGAGCTGCAGACTGGAGCTGTTCCTATTCAGCCACCTTGGAAGCCCCAACCACTTTTTAATTTGAGCTTTTTCCGTTTTTTATATGGTTTGGCTGTGTCTCCACCCAAATCTCATCTTGAATTGTAGTTCCCATAATCCCCATGTGTCACGGAAGGGATCGGGTGGGAGGTAATTGAATCATGGTGGCAGTTACCTCCATGCTGTTCTCATGATAGTGAGTGAATTCTCATGAGATCTGATGGCTTTATAAAAAGCTTTCCCCCCAACTTTGCTCTGCACTTCTCCTTGCTGCTGCCATGCGAAGAAGGACATGTTTGCTTCCCCTTCTGCAATGATTGTAAGTTTCTGAGGCTTCCCCAGCCCTGCAGAACTGTGAATCAATTAAACCTCTTTCCTTTATAAATTATCCTGTTTAGGGTATTTCTTCATAGGAGTGTAAGAACGAACTAATACAGTTTCTGTTTTTTGGTTTTTTTTTTTTTTTTTTTTTTTTTTTTACGGAATTTCACTTTTGTTGCCCAGGCTGGAGTGCAATGATGCAATCTCAGCCACTGCAACCTCTGCCTCCCAGGTTCAAGTAATTCTCCTGCCTCAGCCTCCCAGGTAGCTGGGATTGCAGGCACCCACCACCATGCCCAGCTAATTTTTTGTATTTTTAGTAGAGACACGGTTTCACCATGTTGACCAGGCTGGTCTCAAACTCCTGACCTCAGGTGATCCACCCGCCTCAGCCTCCCAAAATGCTGGGATAACAGGTGTGAGCCCTGGTGCCCCACCTGATACAGTTTTATAATGGAATCATGTCTGCTTTAACAGACAACTTCTTTGAATTTAATTTAATCATTTTTATTTTCTTTTCTGATGTTACCTTATACACTGGGTCCTGAGAAGCCTTCTCACAGACCAGGGCCTCCTCCCCAGCCTTGCCCTTTTCCATATCACCTCTGATACTGCTGAAAGTATTCTTGTTTTTGAAAACATCAAGATATTTAAAGCCCATTCTTATTTATCTGATCTTAAAACATTGAATCAGCTATACTTCAAAAAGCCCAGGTTTTTAGGAATAAAGAATATGAGAAACCATGATATTGACATTAGCTTATACATTAAACCCTTCCAAGACTATAGGTGGCAGGAAGAGGGACACCAGATGACCCAAGAAGTGTCTGCTTGAATCATTAAAGCATGTTGAACATTGGAATAGGAAAGTATGTTCACAAATAACATAATGATGTACAATATTTTAGCTTTTCCAAAATGATAAAAAATGAACAAAAGTGAACTTTTATGACAGTAATGTTTTTTAGCCTATTGAAATGAATCATATACGTCCACTAGAGTTTTCTGGAAAAGAAGAATAGGAAATCAGTTAACAATAGTGTTTGCCAAAAAAGAATTCTGCATTCTTCTTTTATATATTCAAACCTGAAGAATGCAACTTGAGGAACTTAAATTAAGATTTGTTTCTTTCCATGAATGATAGGGTTTTTAAATAGGTGGGTTGGGAAAGAGGTCCTATGCATTTTAATCAGTTAATTACTTTAGAAAAAAATGCAAAATTACTAATTTAGGGAACCAAGATCTCAGGTGACAATCTAAAATTCTGTGGTCATAAGTAATATCCCACCACAAAGATAAATCAACCATTGTGTTTTTATCACCACACAACGGTTAAAATCTAAGCCTCTGTCACATCAATTATCTGGCCAAATAGCCAGTGGAAAAGTAAAAGGTCAAAGTAATTTGAAAAGAGTTTCACGAATGTTTGCTTTTGAATAATACATAAGGTAACAGGTATTTTCAAAATGAAGCTCTAGGAATGTATCTTGAAGATACATTTCTTCCATAAAATAAAACTTTTAAAAATGATTTCTCTTTTTCAGGGTGTGGCTTTGTGGAACTGTGAAAAGTATTGCCCTTTGTTTTAACTTCATCTGGAAACTTCAGGAACAGACCAACTATTGCTAATCCAGCTGGAAGCAATATATATGATACAGATACTTGTGATAAACCCTCCCCAGAGAGCTTGTTAAGTTGTTGCACCAGGCAAGAGTCATACATAAACCTTAGCTGTGTTTTCAAGAGCTATTGTTTCTCCCAATTACATCAACTACAGGTTTAATAAATTCATTCATAGATATATACTGAGCATTACATCAATCTTCACTTTGTTCTAACTACTCTTTGCTTTTCAATAATCGAGAATTTTGTCAATGGATAAGGCTCCTGTCATAATTTTAAATTAGAATTTCTCAATTTCTTTCTGTTTTCTAAAGAAATATAATGGTTTTGAAAGATACTGGACTTGACATGAATTTGAGTAGTTCATGTATACATCAATCTTAAAAGACAAAAGTCTGAAATTAACTATTAGTATGAAATCAGTAAGAACTCATGAATAAATAAACATTAAGTAAAAACAAATCTTACTAAACTTTGGCCATCAGATGAGAAGGAGACCTTAAATTGATTTTTTACTTAATTATACTTTTGGATCAATATTCTATGTGGAAGTAGCTTGCCGTTTTCTTATACTAATATATAGAAAGACTGGATTACAATACTTTGCATAGCTACCCAAAATTTATATTATTATTATACTAAACTGGTTAAGAAACAGAGACACTAGAAATGAAAATTTAAAAAGATTTTTCCCTCTAAGTTCAAAGTAGTGTAGAATAGGATACATCTCAGAAGCATAAAATTGAATTCATAAAGGAAATTAACACCCCAGAATCTCTCAGTTTGAATGGCTCTCTTCACAACTCATTCAGAACAATTGTGCAACTAGAATAATGATCTTACCCATTGATAGGATTTGGCTGTGTTCCCACCCAAATCTCACCTTGAATTGTAATAATTCTCATGGGTCAAGGTCAGGGCCAGGTGGAGATAATTGAATCATGAGGGCAGTTTCCTCCATACTGTTCTCGTGGTAGTGAATAAGTCTCACGAGATTTGACGGTTTTATAATGGAGAGTTTACCTGCACAAGCTCCCTTGCCTGCTGCCATGTAAGTTGTATCTTGTTTTCCTTTTGCCATAATTGTGAGGCTTCCTCAGCCATGTGGAACTGTGAGTCAATTAAATCTCCTTCCTTCATAAATTACCCAGTCTTGGGTATGTCTTTATTAGCAGAATGAGAACAGACTAATACACCTATATTTAACTGCACAAGCCTTACCTTTATGGTTCATTTCTGATATTATTTATATTTTTATACTATTTCCAACAACCAGTTTTCCATATTTTAAAACTTAAATTGTCATTACAAACGTTAGTTTTAATATGGTACAGATAATTCAATGATGTTACTTATATGCTAATATTTATGCGAATGACAATTTTTGTTCTTTGATGATAAGTTATGTTACTATAGCACTGTTGTAGAATACTGGTAGAAAACTTTCTTATTGTCCCAGAATTAATGCCTAGAATCCACAGTCTAAAGCCAAATAATGCAAATGCATTTTCTTATTTTCCCAGAATTGATGAAAGAATCCACAGTGTAATGTCAAGTAATGCCAAATTCTAAAGTCAGAAAACTACCGGCTGTGGGCTCAATCACATTCAAGAGAGGCTTGCTAAGGGGCACTATTTCAGCACAGTTGGAGCTCTTCATCATTCCAACCCTTTACTTCCTGACTTCCTCTGGACTGTATAAAATGAAGGCAGGCTAGAAGTCGTTATTGACGGGAATGAGAATTTGTGGAGCAGCTTCTCTTACTCCTCCCATTGGTGAGAAGCATCCAGTATATTCTCTGTCATCCTACAAGATGGAGGTTGCTAAAACCATTACCCCTTTCACTAAGTTGTGACTGCTGATCATCCCTTGTGTGAAATTTCCTAACTACTGAGCCAGCAGGATATCGGGTGCCCTAGACTTACAGCTGCTGATGAGAGAAAAGAAAGTCAAGAAAGATGTCGAGGAGAGAAAACAGCAAGGAGAAGGTGGGGAGGTAACCTGTATGCCTGTTCTGTTGTATGGCAAGGATACAGATATTTCTGACAATCACCTTAGGTGCTGGTTAGAAATTAATTTATCAGGCCAGGCACGGTGGCACACGCCTGTAATCCCAGCACTTTTGCGGGGGCCGAGGCGAGTGGATCATGAGGTCAGGAGTTCAAGACCAGCCTGGCCAAGATGGTGAAACCTCGTCTCTACTAAAAATACAAAAAAAATTAGCTGGGCCTGGTGGCAGGCACCTGTAATCCCAGTTACTCAGGAGGCTGAGGCAGAGAATTGCTTGAACCTGGGAAGTGGAGGTTGCAGTGAGCCGAAATCACACCACTGCCACTGCACTACAGCCTGGGTGACAGAGCGAGACTCCGTCTAAAAAAAAAAAAAAAAAAAAAGAAATTAGTTTGTCAATAAGATAAATTAATTCACTTCAAGAGAGCTACTAGAAGAGAAAATTCTCAACACGAAGTAATAGAATGCCCCTCCCACAGCAGAAATGAGCAGGTTAAGTGGTTAAGCCTCAGCTGACTCTCCCAAGCTAGGGAACTATAAAGGGTAAGGCTTCCTTAGAACCCTTCACAGAACCAACAAACATCTACCCTTTAGAAAACCAGCAGTTGAATGCCTACCATAGAAGTGTGGCTGCAAAAAACAGAAAAGGATAAGTAATCTACCTCATGGTGGGTTTGCTTAAGTAATGGAAGAGCGATTTCAACGAACAAAATAAACATCAGCTAATCAACTATGGGCAGTTGCATATGGAAACGGCTTTTTGACCCTTCTTCCTTCCCCCCACTCCCAGCACCAGAGAACTAAGTCCTGGAAAAGGAACAAGGTTGTGAGAAATTGTTTTCTCTACCTCCACCATAAGCAGAAGTTCCAAGCCACTGGGCCCTGAGGAAAGGAGAATTTAATTTGATTTGATTTCTGCTAACTTTGTTTATGACTTATTTCTTCATGTTTTTAATGGTATTTTGTTGTGAGATGATACTCACTGGAACTCTAAAAATTGCCTGGAAATTGTTTAAGTTCTTTCCCCCATAGCAGATTTGTCTCCTTTTGCCAAGCTCATGGGGCCATCACCAATCCAGAATCACTTTAACTTAATTATTGACTTGGGTTTTGAAGTCACATGGCAATGTGATTCTTGCCTCATACCTATGTATGTAAGGGCTTCTGGTTAGGAGTTTAAAGGATTTTCATTGTTCTTGTATTTGTTTTTAATTTTACATTCTGTTCTACCCAAAGCCAAGATGTTTTAATATGTACCTGGGATTTGTTTTAATCAGGTATGATAAAATGACAGACATGGAGATAACTGCCTTGAAAGAAGAGTTTATTGCTCACAGTCCCCCAGAGGATAGGGCATGCCACACCATGCAAAGCCACTTGGGGAAGCACCAGGGTCAATTAGGGGACAGAAGGGACAAAGGGAAACATGGACAAAAGCCGTGATTGTGTTCTTTCTTTCTTTCTTTGTTTTCAGGAACAAAGGGAGTAGGCAAGCTGAGCAAGTACAAGATTGAAATTGTTTTTAAAATTTCAGCAGGCCTTGGGCTATAGTGGTGGTCTCTAGTTACCTAGTACCTGGTTGGTGATTTAGAGCAGGGAGAATATTGGTATGGTGTGTGAGAGTTAATAAAGGAGGTGGCTGAAGGTAGAGACAGGATTGTTTGGCTTGCATATGAAAGGTATGCTCATAGGCAAGTTGTTCGCTATCTCTAGCAATTAGCTATCCTTGGAAGGGACAGTCTCTCCAAGATCAGCAAGACCCCAAGATGTCAAAGCATGATAAAATATAAAAATGCATAATTAATATTGCAAGAAGACAGACAAGTATTAACATTTCCTCCGCAAGGGTGTTTTCCCTCAAGTTCAGTCACTGAGGGTGTTGCTGTCTGGGAAGAGCAGTCTCAGATTTTTGAGGTTATCTCCGATCCAGCCTTCTATGAAACTCAAGTTCATACTATTAGTACTTTCTTTCCAGCCTCCATGCATGCAGGCAACATTATAATTCAGGCTCAAGGTTACCAACTACTGGCAGATGCTGTTCAGGTAAACAGCAAACACTGACTTCAACCTCATCTATTTTGGATTTGTGTTTTCTTATCAGTTCTGCCCTCTGATGGTTTTTCTTAATTTATCATCTTTACCATGACTTTTCAAAAGATTTTCACTTTTAATCTATTACTGCAGAGATTCCATGCTGGGATGGGTTTACCTACTCAGCTAGTCAACCATTTTCCTAAAATAAAAGTCTTACATTTACATGTTTAATGTCTCTTTGCTTGTTGAAAAATCATTCTCAATGAACTCTATTAAAACCAAGAAAAACAATCCTAAAATAGTATCTAATGAAATGTCAATCTTGGATTTTCTAGCTTTCAGACAGTTCTCTACATTTTGAACAATTGCCATTAAAGTAAAAATTACTTAAGATTTTTTACCATATACTTTGTAATTTTTATGTTTTCTAAGAAATTTTAAACCTTTCCTGTTATAATCTGAAATCTAATTTTAAAATGTGAGAATGTCAGTCTTCCCTTTTCACGATTTAAACTATTTTTGTGAGGATGTGAATATTTCTTAATGTACAGACGTTATTTTCTAGTTCACTGATTTAGAGGATAGAAGCCATTGACCCTATCTTCAGAATATGCAATATCCTCTAAATGGACAGTGGAAAAACATTTTAAAGGCCAACCAAAGAAGACTTAACTATGCATTAGACAAGAGCATAAATGTGTAGTCCATAAATTGTATCAGAAAATAAAATTTGAATTGGATAGAATGTTACAATTAAAATATATTAATTTCGTATCACTTTGCTTTCATTTTTGAGATCTGATACGCAAAAAGAAACAAAATAATTAGATAATTCAATAATCCTAAACCAGCCATTGGTATGTAGACTTTTTTTTTTTTAAGACAAAGTCTCACTTTGTCACCCATGCAGGGTGGTACAATCACGGGTCACTGCAAGCCTCGACCTTCTAAGCTCAAGCAATCCTCCCACCTCAGCATCCTGAGTACCTGGGACCACAGACACACACCACCATGCCCAGCTAATTTTTAAAATATTTTTTGTAGAGACAAGGTCTCTCTATGTTCCCCACACTGGTCTCAAACTCCTGGGCTCAAGCAGTTCTCCCACCTTGGCCTCCCAAAGTGCTAGAATCACAGGTGTGAGCCACTGCACCCAGCTGACATCTACTTTTGATTATTCAGCAGAACAGTTTGAGTTTAACTTATTGTTTCATTTTAATTTTAGTTAAACTGGAAGTTCATGAGTCATCTTAGCATGTTTTATGTCACCAAATAAACTTGGGAATTTAAATAACTACCATCAATTCATCATATTTCCATTTTCTTAGGAATCAAGCCAGGTTTGAGACCTAGCTGGTAATCAGGAAGCTTGGGAAATGCCTGCTTAACAAAAGAGATATGGACAAACATGTTTTGTATATAATGACTACACCAAAGTCATTTGCCAGTTAAGTTATCTGCCTTGTGAGAATTATTCTCGTCTGTTTATATGAAGATAAACAGAGAAAAGAGGAAGAGTTCAGAATAAACAAATACTTCTTTAATGAGTGTTGGTTCAATCTCAATACCAATCAAAAAGAAACACAATTTGAAATAAGATATTTTTCAATTATCAGCAGTAATGAAAATGGTATCATAATAACCTTATACAAGGGGGGAGTGAAATAGATGTTTCATGAACTGTTGGTTTACATATAAATTACTACCAGTCACAGGAGGACAAATTGGCATTACATAGCATCAAAAATCTTTTAAAAAAAGTATATACTTTAGCCAACTAAACTTTCAGAACTTTTCTCTTTAAAAAAGTGCAAAGATGTAGGTATATAAGTGTTTATCACAATTTTACTTATAATTGTGAAAATTTTGACAAGAATGAGGGCCTTTACTAAAGACATGGGCTAAAGAATTTGCATAGTTCTGCTCCTTTAAGGAAGAATGCACCTTCAAGCCACCTCAAACCAAAACCTTTCCTTACTAAGGACTCCCAGTAGCCTACCTACACTGTGGTTGAGTTTTCTGACTTTACTAAACATTGATTTCTATGGTTCAGCACCTCAAAATTGACTTAAAATGTATTATTAACTTGTATAACATTTATTCCTAAGTTTTATTCTAATTTCATTATTCTTATATTTTGGATTTTCTGCCTCACTCTTATTTTTCTTTAACTTAAATGGTGACTCCTACATTTTTAATAAAAACAATTTTACTTTATTTGTACATTCTTAGAAACTACTTTTAGTCTTAATAATCTCATTCATAACTTTGCTTTTTAGATCTAGCTTTTTATATTGCACATATTTTCAAACTTTATTGTTTTAAACTTAGTTGCTTTTTCCATATTTTAAAATTAATATTTTATTTTTAGAATAAATTTTACCTTAAAATTATATTTTGTTTCTGTTTTTTGTTTGTTTAGACTCATCTCTTTAAATGTCTGTTTTCAATTTATTATTTTTAATTTCTGTTTGGTTTTATTATTATTTTTTGACAGTTTCTTGCTCTGTTGCCCTTGACTTCTCAAACTCAAGTGATCCTCCTACCTCAGCCTCCCAAAAGTAACTACACCCAGCTAATTTTTTTTTTCTTTTTTGTTTTTTGTAGAGACCGGGATCTCACTATGTTTCCTAGGCTGGTCTTGAGCTTCTGGCCTCAAGCTATCTTCCCACTGTGGCCTCTCATAGTGCTGGGATTATAGTCATGAGCCACTGTGTCCAGACGATTATTTTTAGTTTGCTCTTCTGTTGAACAACCTGCTTCCATGACTCATATTCAAGACAAGAATCCTGGTCCAGCCCTGCTCACCAATGATTTCTACACCCATCTGAATGAAGAGGTTGGTTAGCTTTCTGTTCTTCTTAAACTCAATTTTCACAAGAAGTCAATTCTCCTTTTCAGTCCATTGAAACTTAACTGTGAGTTAACTTGAAATCTAACTGGCAACATGTTATAATTGCAATCTGCTTCTTAACAAAGGTACACTTTAAAGATGCATAATTGAGGACTGCCTAAAAGATATGCAATCCTTCCAAGTCTCTCTAGGAGCTTCAATGTGAGTGCATGGGTTAAGCCAGATTATCAAAAAGCTTGTACATGAGTACATAGTTTTCTGGCCCCATATAGATTAATTATATAAAATTACGTTTTGGTGTTCATTTATTGGTCTAATTTAAAGAATCATATAAGAAATTGCCCTATGAAAAGTACCTATATATTTACTGTGGAGAAATTACCGGTAACATAGTTTCTCTGGAGCAACTGCTTTGTTTTGATTTTGTGCTTATTGACATGATCAACTTTATTTTATTGACCCTCTGAGTTGTATAACCCATTTTTTTTCCTTTTTCATTGGCTGTTAAAGCACGTTGAGTTGAAATCGTGGCCTGTATCCAATAAGTACACAGTATCTCTTGGCAAGCAATTTACTACTCACTTCTAGGTTTATTTTATTTTTCTTATTTCAAGATATTTCCCTGAGTTATTTTCCTAGTTATATATTTTTAATTTGTCTGGGCACATTATATGCATTGTTACACTACACCTTAAAGAATTTTGAAACAAATACTCTGAAAGAGAAACAAAGGTCAACATTATAACCCCATTTTATGCTTAAGAAAAACAGGACAGTGTGATAATAATAGGCAGCCAGTCAGCAGTGAAACTAAAATTGGAACATCCATCTTTGAGTTACAAAATGACTTAAAACTCAAGAATCCAAAGCCATTAGACTGTATTGCTGTGTTATTATTGCCAGACTCCTATCAACACTGGAGACCAACCAACAGTCAGAAATAATCAAATACATTGTGCTCAATTCTCTACTTTATTTTGAATAATATTAAAGTTCCAGAAATGTATCAGCCCAGGCAAAGCCAGTGAGTATGAGTAACTGAAAGCATCATCTCCCACCTCTTCACCATATGCTCAGAAAAATCTTAGACAAGTTCAACTGGATATTTTGTGAACCACCCATCCAGAAACACTGTAGCCTTTAGGAGGTGGGGTTTTGTGGCAACTTTAAGGTACACAAATTTAGTCAAGTATATGTAGATGAGCATAACACAAAGATACATTTTACCATGAAGATCCATTATTGCTATTAATATTTAATGTTAAAATATTTAAAGAATATTGATAAAATATTTCAAATTGTGTATACAGTTATTCTGATGGACCCTATTTCTTTTCTTTTCTTTTCTTTCTTTTTTTTTTTTTTGAGACGGGGTCTCACTCTGTCGCCCAGGCTGGAGTGCAGTGGCACAATCTCCACTCACTGCAACCTCCACCTCCCAGGTTCAAGCGATTCTCCTGCCTCAGCCTCCCGAGTAGCTGGGATCACAGGCACGTGCCACAATGCCCGGCTAATTTTTTGTATTTTTAGTAGAGATGGGGTTTCACCATGTTGGCCAGCCTAGTCTCGAACTCCTGACCTCAGGTGATCCGCCTGTCTCAGCCTCCCAGAGTGCTGAGATTACAGGCATGAGCCACTGCGCCTGGCCTGACAGGCGCTATTTATAAGCCACAAATTTTAAAACTCAACCTCGCTCTATAGAACTTTATATTTGGAGCTCAATATTGAATTAATATCACCCAGAGATTTTTCTAAAGCCCTTCATGCTTTGTTTTGCTTTGTGATTATTAAGTAATTCTTCTCATTGTAGAAAATTGAAGAAGTAAAAAGTATTCAAAAAGAACATGAAAATCAAAACATTCTTCATATAAATGTTTAATGCCAACATTTATTAGGCGTTTACTTCGTGTGAGCACAAATCTAGGCATCTTATACATATTTTCTCTGCCTCCCAACAGCCCTACAAAGTAGATACATTATAAACCCTATTTTATGGCTGAAGAAACAAGGTGTGGTGAGACGAATTAAATTATTAAGTGAAATGATCACTAATAAAAGTTCTCCGTGGCATTGGATGCATTTCAGTTTTCATTCATTAATTTATGACAGAAAGAGAGAGAGAGTTATAGATCACAGGGTCTTTGGCCTCCCCTGTAATGGAAATTAACACGAGGCCAAGCAGATTTCCCAGACAAAGCTTTTATTTTGGGGCTTGTGCTGAAGTGCAAGGGAGACAGCAGAAGTGAGGTGTAAGAATCCTCTGGATGGCTCCTTAAAAAAATCCAGTAGGGTTTTTTGTTTGCTTGATTAGGCAAAGCACAGGAATTGACATCAGGGGTAAAACATTCAGGCTGAGCTGGGCAAAGCACATGATGGGTAGGGTATGCAGGTCAGCGCATCTTGTTGCTATGGTTATCTTGAGTAATGGGCCACCTGGTGGTCTGGCCAGCAACGACAAGGCTGTAAATCAATTGTTCAGCATTCTTTCCCGAGGTGGGACACTCTGCAATTGTGGTTCAGTGTTAAGATTTCCTAAGTCCAACTTTTAGAATATTTTAAATAAAAGGTGTGGTTAAACATTATGAGAGCACAGAAGAATGACTGTTTTCTATGTGTGACTAAAGCCTCAGGATTAGTTGGTATAGCATCAGCAAGATAGTGCTGTGGATTTTGTGAAGAGAATAAAGAAGAAAAAATATGTGAAGAGGGAGCCACATCCCACTCCTATTCTATCTCAGTTCCTCCCTGAGAGATTATATTCTCCTTATTCTTAGAGAGGGCCAAATATCTCATCTTCTGAAGCTACTTCCTACTGAATAGGATTGTCATCCCTGCCTAACCTTGGAGGGCATGGAAATTTTTCACTGACTGTTCTAAAGATTAGTAGGAACTAGGATCCTCCTGTGATGGTAAGGGTTGGACTCCTTGGGCCATCAGTAGCGTGACTTGGAATGGCTGAAGCCTGAAGACATAAACTTTAATTATCTGTACCCCTGTTGAATATAATAAATAATTATTTTAAAAATCAAATAGCACCCAGTGATTAATAAAATGCTTAAGCCCAGTTTAACAATGCTTATAAGAAGAGATCAGATGCCATTTGAAATGTAAGTGAATTGACTGGAGAACCAACCTCCTGTTGTCAAAATATAAGACAAATAGACTTTTAATAAGAGGCATTTATATGGAACCAGAAGAAAAACAAACATTAATCGTGGGCATAATCTACCCAGACGTTACACTCAAAGCATCTTTAGTTACAGAGGAGGAAGATGCTGGCAATCTGACACATTTTTCTTGCCTGTGTTATAAGAAATAAACTTTAGTCTGCAGGGCCTTAGAAAAGAGATACTAGCAATTTTATTGTGTTTAACTCAGAAAAATGGAAGAAAAACTTGAAAATGTTAGCTTGGATATTTGTTGCATAGAAAATAATATTTTAAAACTCAATAACAATGGACAAGACTAGAATCTAACAACAGGTATGTTATGGTCTTTTTGTCTCCAGTTTCACTTTTATCAAAGACAAATCATGGTAGTACTGATTTGTTTGCAATTAAGTTTTAGTCTTATTATACTTGGCCTGATTATTTGCATAAAGTGCAGCAAGAATAATTATTTGTCGTATAGACTCTCATATATATATATTTTTTATTTTGCGGGAACTTTGTTCTGTAAGGAACCTTAGCTTAGACTTTTTAAAGCCTTGAACCTAGCCACTGATTTATCTGTCCCTATAAATACTTGTATGAATTGTGTGAATTCCTCCCCTCTTAAGGTCCCAATACAACTTGGAGTTCCAGAACCTGTTAGAAAGTGACATTTTTTACTCTATACAGGGACTGCATAGACAAGGTATGAGGCCAGTTTCTCCAAGGGGCTTTTTATCGGCTTTATAAGTCAACCTCAAATTTTTAAAGCAGTTGGAAGCATGCCATTTCAGTCAAAAGCCTGGTAAAATAGCCAGTGTCCCCACTTGTGTTCTGTTACAAAAGAAAACAGATTCTTATTGAACTTATGCAAATAACTATATTGCCATAAGTTAAGAATAGTCACAAATAGTTTCCAAATTCTAAAGAAATCAGGTAGAAAGAAACATGCTCCAAATTTGCTTATAGGAATATATAGTAGTTAATTGTTAAAAGATATAACTAGTTCAACAGGAAAAAAGTTTTCTTGACTCTGAAAACCAAAACAAAAAGGATCAGCAGAATTTCAGGAAATTTATAAAAAGATTATTTCGATTTTCTATTAGTTTAGTCCATGCAATTAACTCTTGTTCCACTCAATATTTATTAACATGTAACATCTCCAGGAAAGTCTTAGAAGTTTTTTCCTCTATTCTAATAGTCCAATCTCCAAAGTTATCAGAGACTTGCTTTCAAGAACACCTGTCAGAGTTCTATAGCTGATTATAAACTGCCTTTTGAAAAGAATCAAAACAAGATAACAATTGTCTGTGGATGGCAAAAGTCTTAGGATAGCCATGACTAATGACACAATCAACAAGAAAATCTGGTAATCAGGCCGGGCGTGGTGGCACACGCCTGTAATCCCAGCACTTTGGAAGGCTGAGGCAGACGGATCACCTGAAGTCAGGAGTTTGAGACCAGCCTGGCCAACATGGTGAAACCCCATCTCTACTAAAAATACAAAAATTAGTGGGGTGTGGTGGTGCATGCCTGCAACCCCAGCTACTTGGAAGGCTGAGGCACGAGAATCACTTGAACCTGGGAGACAGAGGTTGCAGTGAGCCGAGATTGCGCTATTGCACTCCAGCTTGGGCAACAAGAGCAAAACTCCATCTAAAAAAAAAAAAAAAAGAAATCTGGTAATCTCTGTGGCACACAATAATTTAACATAACAATCACAATTATTAATAACATATAGTGAGGCATATCAGAATTATAGGAATCTCATATAATTTTCAAATACATATTAACACATTTATAGGAATATAATCTAATGAAGGTTAAACAACATTTTTTATTTAACAATGTTTCTTATATGGGTTTAATATACCAAATGAGCCAAAAATATCTCTTTTGGACCTAAAAGTACCCAATGCTTAATTTGATCTTGAAAAGTTTGTCAGATATCAAAAGGTTTAAAACACTTGATAACACAGAACAGAATCCCAGGCTACTATAAGCCATTTATTTAGCCAAAGTGATAACTCTAAAAATTTTTTAAGCCAAAAACCTGTACTCATTGATAGAGGGGAGACTCAGCTTTCCAAACAATAAGACCCAATAAAGACAGCATGAGGCCAGTTGAATTTATTTCCTCCTCTCTCTTTTTTCTATAGTTATTTAAAAGGTAAAGAAAAATCTTTTGTTTTCCATTTTAGGCGATTAGTCTGTTGACTACCTGTTCCCTGTCCTAAGCAATTGTCAGCGAGGCAAGTCTAATTTGTATATCTAAAGGGACAACTCTTAGGTGAAATAAGATAGAGAATTTATATTTTAATCAAACCAAGAAAATATGGTTTGAGTAAAAGTTCATGTGAGATCGCCAGGAAAAGCAGATACTCTTACGCATGGAGAGTTGTCAAGAATCCCATTTTTACACTGAATCTTGGGTCCCAAAAAAGAGACACATACTATGGGATGGGACATTGCAACACTTTCACAGTGTATTTCATTGCAAGGACATTTCTCCAAGGCTGGTGGGCAACCCAACTGCAATCAGCCCACTCTGTAATCAGCCCATCCCCCATTCTATACCTTCTAGGTGCTCAAGAGCATGTTTTTCTTATCTAAATGCACAAAGAAAGGAGTACCGGCTTGTAGTAGTAGCTACTCACTATAAACAATTGCCATTAGACATTTTTAAAAGTATATCTCTTATTTAGCTATTACAAATTAAGGTTTTTTTTTAAATAATGCAAAGTAATTTCTGATGCCCACAAAAGTCAAAGAGGTCGGGTAACACAATGCAGTGCAAAACACAGCAGAGCCTTAGGTTTTGAGAGGGATCTGTCCACTTAGAATTATTTGGGTTCCATGAGGAAAACAGATTTCTCCCAAAACAGGGCCTGTGAGACCTCCTCTGTTTTTCCCAAGGCTGTCAGAAATTACCTTAGGTCCTCTCATGTGAACTTGAGGGTAGCAAGAGGACAGACAAAAGTAAATGGAGAAACAATTCAGTCAACTGAGAAGAAAAAATATATATATAATATATATATAATATATATTCAAAAAACAAGATCCAAGAAGAGAAAAAACATAACGGCCTTTTAAGTATGCATATAGCTTTGATATCCCCTTTTAATTAAGCTCACTTCTAAGCATAGAGCTCTTTTATTTAAAAATTCTTTTAAATCTTTTATTACGAGACTTTGGCTGGGACAAACAGCTGACACCTCTAGCTTTTAAGCCTTTTGTTTTCCTAAAGGTATTTTCCTGAGTGAAACCAATAAGCCTTAAGTAAGGTTATGACTTAACCACAGAATCACAGGTTGTCTCCAAAAAGATGGCAAGTGGTTTTTACAAGAGCTAGAATTGCCCCAAAGATAACTCAGAGAAAGAAAAATTCAAGAGACAAATTCAGAAGCTGTTCATGGAGGAGAAAAGAATCAATAAGTATTAAAGGTTACATAATTATCAAAACAAAAAGAACCTATTCCTTAAGCTGAGAATTGAACCAAGGCCACACACCTCATGAAAGGGCAAGGTCTATAGCTACTGAGCTACAGCATATGGCAGTTGCCACTGCTCTTCCCAGAAGGAGCCTAGAGCAGTCATGTTTTAGGTTGCAAAATATTTTTAACTGCTCAATATAACTTTTTACTTTCTAAAAAATTTTGCATTTCACTCTGTTGACCAGGATGCTCAAGATCATTTTAAAGGCTAGCTATGACATTATTACACGTCCTTCTTTTATTTTAAACCATTTTTTCTTTAATTGTTGAGAATAAGAGATCTCTGAAGTCCTTTTTTTCTGTTGATGGTGTACTTAGTTCCAATAGTGAGTGAATCCAAAAGCCTTTTGAAGTTCAGATAGTAATTTTAGAGGTTTTTACTATATAAGCAAAAGGTATATCTAGAGGGAGTAAAGGAGGCATCTACATGGTTCCCAAGAATTCATTCTCAGAAATGACCTAAGACAGCAAAAGACAACTAAAGCCACATAGAAATGGGACCATTTAAGACAAAACTCACCCAAGGGCATGACACATTCAGGACAAAGAGTGTGCTGATGCAGCTCAGACTCCAAGTCCTTTCAGGCTAGCTGCCTGACATGAACCTGAAAATTCCAGCCCTCCAGATGGTAGAGACCAGGAGAGGTACCCCCACATGGTCACAAGGTCAAGCTCCCAAGGACGTAAAACAAGATGAGAGGGAAACCTCATCTGGCTTTTTTTTAAGGGACCAACAGCAAAGTTTGTAGCTGACCAGTCTGCAGGGCTGGCTTGCAACAGAAGGCTTACAGAGGGCCTAGGCTCGTATTTTATCCTATGGGGCCACACTTTATGACAGAACAACACAGAAAGACAAATTTATATAGCTCAAAGTACACAAGATTTGCTACAGCTGAAGACTAGTCTCACAAATCCCTTTTCCCATTAATCAAAACCTTGCAGGGGAGACAAACAGTGATTTTCACATTTCATCAACTGGTTTACACAGAGAGGCCAGGAGTCTGGCTGGTAAGAAATGTTTACCTTTTCTGGCATGTCAGGTTTTAGGGTTCCCTCTCTCTGCAGCTTCTGGAAGAGCAGAGTGGATTTTGATGACCCTGCTCCCTGTGCCATAGCTGTGGGGGCCAAGCCATGCTACAAAAAAAAAAAAAAAAAAAAAAAAAGCACATCTTTTTCTGTTTTATGGAATCATAGGCAAAAGTCTCTCACTTTTTACAAGATGCCACCCAACAGGAGGCATAGGGGAATATGTTGTCAAATCAAACAGGGAAAAATGGATTAGGAAGTCAGTAGCTCAAACTCTGGAACCATGTGCTGTCAATTCTCCCCTCAAAAGGCAGCACCCACAGTCCATAGGATAATATGCCCGAAAAGATAGACAACAGAAAAGCCCACAGGCTTCCCTTCCCCGTAGGTGTGGGAAAGGGAGGAAAAGCGCTTAGCAGACTTAAAGATGACAGTCCTACCAGCTGAACCAATCAGCCATTGCAATCTGTCCTGCACAGGTGTCTATTCAATTTGAGCTGATGAAGTTAATGAAAAGTGAAGGAAAAGTAGGAGGAAAGAGGAAGGAAAAAGACACAACAAATAGGGGACAGGAGAAGAGAGAAGCATTGTCTGGCAGTCTCGGGGAGGCAAGAAGAAAACTCACCAGTTGTGGCAATGCTGAATCAAAGATTCAGGTGACCACCTGTCACCCATGAAGGAGGCAGGCACACCCCGCCATCATGCTGGCTCACAAGCCTCCTCCTTGGAGAAAAATGCTCACCACGTCCTATAATCCCGTCATGGTTGCCAGAGAACCTGTTACAGACCACAGGCTCTTTGGCTCCCATGTAACAGAAGTTAACACAGGGCCAAGCAGATTTCCCAGACAAGATTTTTATTTTGGGACTTGTGGTTGAGCAAAAGGGAGACAGCAGAGGTGAGGTGGAAGGATCCTCTGGCTGGCTCTCTGAAAAAGCCTAAAATCTGCAAGAGGTATTTTTTTATTTTTATTAAGCAAAGCACAGGAATTGACATCAGGGGTAAAGTATGCAGGCTGAGCTGGGCAAAGCACATGAGAAGTAGGGTATGCAGGTCAGCGCATCTTGTTGCTATGGTTTTCTTGAGTAATGGGCTACCTGGTGGTCTGGCCAGCAGCAATAAGGCTATACATCAATTGTTCAGCATTCCTTCCCAAGGTGGGACACTTCACAAGATTCATTCAATGTTTAGTTCTCCTAAAGCCAATTTCTGGAATTCTTTAAGTGAAAGGCATGGTTAACCATTATGAAAGCACAGAATGGCAGCTATTTCCTATGTGTGACTAAAGCCTGGGGTTAGTGGGCATAGCATCAGTGAGATAGTGGTGCGGGTTTTGTGAAGAGAAGAAGAAGAAAAAAAAAAACTACATGAAAAAGGAGTAGTATCCCATCCTATTCTATCTCCAGTAGATTATAAAATAGACAGACAGAAATGGATACTTTTCTTACTGTTAGTACCATTATATTTGTAACCTGAATCTGCTATATACAATTATGTCATAAATTTTGTAAAGTCTTAAAATTCTAATGAAAATTTTAAAATCTGCTGAGTCCATTTAAATTACATTCAAGGGCAAGGAACAACAACCGTAATAGAAAAATTTAACATGCAAACATTTAAGTGCTTATTCAACTACAAGAATTCTATGGATAGACAGAAGTGAGGAAAGCATGGTAGTTCAGGGATGTCATTAGCAATGTCATTAGCATTGGCTCTGGCTCTCTCTCTCTCTCTCTTCTCCACTATCCTTAACTTATAGGTCTTCATCCTCGTGCTTTTCATTTCTTGATCATAAAATTGCTGCTGCATTTGCAACAATCCTGTTTCAGGAAGGAGAAAAAGAAAGGAGCAAAAAGAAAAAAAGGTACCTGCCCATCAGCTCTGTGCCTCAGAAGCTCCTCTCCTCATTAGCCAGATCTGGTTCACACAACATTTCAGTTACCTCCTATTGTATAACAAAACACCACAATACTTAATGGTGAGGACTAAAATCTGACCTTTTCTTCTCTTGCCAAAATTCCCATCTAAGGGGCCTAGAAGGTATTGCCCTACAAATCACAAAATCTCATTAGATGTTTATTATTAATCACATATAATGTGGCTTGCTTTCCAACCTGACTCTGGTGTAGCATCACATGATAGATAGCAAATCCTGAAGGAAATCAAAATATTTCATCCCAAAATACTTTTATTTGATGTATTTAGAAATAACTACCACAGGGCCAACAAATTGAAATGGCCCTGCAAAGTCATATTTTGTGGGAGAAATTTGCATCTGTAGAGAATCTCCATTAATGCAGGCAGGTCTATCCTTTCTAGGCCTTTCCTGGATCTAGGAGAGATTAACTGTGAGTCTTACACCTTTAAGGCTTGAAAAGAGATATTTCCCATCTATTCTCACCCAGGGCTGCTACCTGAGAGGCTTTATCTACATAAGAAAAACCTTAACTCAAGCATTCCTTTCTACCGAATCCAAGTCTTTGGACAATAGTTTAACTCTCTCAATCAACTGTCAACTAAAGAATCCCTAAAACCCACCTATGACTTACAAGTTGCCCACTACACAACCCCCAACTCCACACTGAGATGTCCCACCTCACCCTGCAGAATCTTCCACATATAAATCCAAACTATAACCTGACTACCTCAGATACACTTTCCCAGGACCCCTTGAGGTTGTATAACCCCAGGCCATGGTCACTCATACTGGCTCAGAATAAGCCTCTTGACATCTATTTTGGCAGAATTTCGTTTTATTTCATCATCAATGGCTTTATAAAAGAAGAAAATAGCAAACAATTCTTTCATTTGCATACATTTCACTAGGAAAGGCCAGAGGATCTAAGACGGCTTCATCTATAAATCTGCCATTCAACTGGGATGGCTAGAATAACTGGGAGTTGTCTGGACCTCTCTACTTTATGATCTTTCTTCCTCCAAGATTTTTGTCTCTGTCCCCATGGACTTTTTTCTAGCCAGTAGCTGGAATTCTTTACATGATGGGTGGCTTCTAAGAGAGTGACAAACGGAAGCTGCAAAGTCTCTAAAAACCAAACACCGCATATTCTCACTCATAGGCGGGAATTGAACAATGAGATCACATGGACACAGGAAGGGGAACATCACACTCTGGGGACTGTTGTGGGGTGGGGGGAGGGGGGAGGGATAGCATTGGGAGATATACCTAATGCTAGATGACGAGTTAGTGGGTGCAGCACACCAGCATGGCACATGTATACATATGTAACTAACCTGCACAATGTGCACATGTACCCTAAAACTTAAAGTATAATAATAAAAGAAAAAAAAGAAAAAAAAAAGAAAAAAAAAAAAACTTGGTAAATTAAAAAAAAAAAAAAGATCTAGGTCCAGGCGTCAACCAATATCACTTCAACACAGTCCACTGGTCAAAATGAGTCACACAACCAGCCTATGTTAGTCTGTTTTCACAATGCTATAAATAAATACCTGAGTTTCAATTGACTCACAGTTCCACATGGCTGGGCGGGCCCCAGGAAACTTACAATTATAGCAGAAGGCAAAGGGACTTTCTTCACATGGCATCAGAGAGAGAAGAGTGGAAGAGCAAAGGGGGAAGAGCCCCTTATAAAACCATCAGATCTCATGAGAACTCACTCACTGTCATGAGAACAGCATGGAGGAAACTGCCTCCACGATACAATCACCTCCCATGAGGTCTTTCCCTTAACCACAACTGAAGATGAGATTTGGGTGGGGACACAAAGCCAAACCATATCACAGCCCAAATTCAAGGGCAGAGGAAAACAGACTTTGCCTCTTCATAGAAGGAGAGGCATACATATACAGGGATGGAAGGACTTACTCATGGCTGTCTTTGCAAATAATCCACCACACGTACATATTCTATTCCAATTGCTGTTCAGAAAAAGTTTTAGTAGATCAAAGAATGGTCACAACAGCATCTGCCTTAATTCAAATACTGTTTTTTTGAGGAATTTCCATTCATTTTTTTTTGTAACACACATATATATAACATTGTTTACAGCTTAATTTTAACTTATTATACAGTTTAATTTTAACTTTAAAGATAGAAAGTGTTTGTGTGGATGAACTATAGGTCATTTTTTGTTATGTTTTTCATTATCTCTGATTTTTTTATAATTATAATGTTACTTCCATATTATTAAAAAAATAATAAATGCTCTTCTCCAAAAGCTAAATATTTACTAGTGGTATCTTTTATAGATGTAACAAAAGTGATACACACATTCCCTTATAATTGGATATTTAGGTTTATAATTTTCTTATTAAATCATGCAAAGATAAATGTATATAAATCAGTTTTCCTAAAAATCTGTTTTCTAAGAAATAATATTTCTATTTAGATTTGGCCAGCAGTATATAAAACAGTCTGTCTAATCATATCTTCAGCAACATTGAGGATTTCTGTGTTTTTGGCATTTATTACAACTTATTTTTACTTGCTTTTCTTTCTTTTTTTTTTTTTTAAACAAAGTCTCACTCTGACGCCCAGGCTGGAGTTCAGTGGTGCGATCTCAGATCTCAGCTCACTGCAACCTCTGCCTCTCAAGTTCAAGTTATTTTCCTGCCTCAGCCTTCTGAGTAGCTGGGATTACAGGCACACACCACCGTGCCGGGCTACCTTTTGTACTTTTAGTAGAGATGAGGTTTCACCATGTTGGCCAGGCTGGTCTCAAACTCCTGACCTCAGGTGATCCACCCACCTAGACCTCCCAAAGTGCTGGGATTACAGGCATGAGCCACTGTGCCCAGTCTTTTAATTGCTTTTCTATGATTAGTGAGTTTGAGAGTTTACACAGTTTTTTGTGGCCATTTGTCTTTTTTATTGTATGAATTGTCTACACCATTGTCAGTTTTTCTGTTGGGAACTAAAACATTTTTTCATTGCTCTTTGAAAGTCTTCATATAGTAAGCATATTAACTTCTTATGTATAGTTTATTACATTTTCCTAGTTTCTCATTCGCCTTTTGGAGGTTTTTCCCATACAAAAATTTTAAATTCTTTATTTCATTTGTATTTTCTTACATAGTGTATATTCTTAGATGATACACACCTATTCTGTTAATATTTAAATTTTCTTCTAGTATATTTTAGAGTTTTTTTATACTTAACTTTTTGATTCACTTGGGCTTGATATTGGTACATGATATAATGAGGTTTAAGGTAAATCCCCCATTCCCACTGTGAAGAAAAAGGCCATTTCTCAATGCCATTTGTTGAAGAATCCATCCATCTACCTCTATATGTATAAATAAATTTCAATGAATATTATATTACATAAACATATATACACAACATATACACTATTGTTTGATTAGTTTATCAATTCTTATAACAACAAATGATGTATTTCTAGTTTTATAATATTTTTTAAATCTATCAGGCCTATTGTCTTAATAGGCAAGATTCCAGTTTATTTTTTCTCAAAAAAAAGGCATTTAGCTCCTTTAAGTTTTTAATCATTCCAAATAAACACTCAAACCTTTATTTCACAGTCCTAAAATGATCCTACTATTCTTTTCACTTAGAATTGTAATGAGTGTATATTAATTTGGAAATAACTGAGATATTTAAAATACTCTCATGAGGAATATTTTGTCTCTACACATGAGTTTTCTCTTTTTTTTGGTGAAGTTCTGTAATTAATGTGAATCATGGTATTTCTTCTTAGAATTCTCCCTTGATAATATTTTCTTGCTATTCGAAATGAAATAATTTTCTTTCATTACATCCGCTAAGTAGTAATTATTACACTGGAAAACTCTTGATTTTTTGTATCCTTCATATACCTGATCCATTTTTAGAATCATTTTGTTCATACAAGGGTTTTCAAATCATTTTCTTGGATATTCTTTGTATATGCCATATTGCCAACAAATAAATGTTTTTGTCTTATTTACTGCAAAATAAAAATCTTATTTTTTTCTACTTAATGTCCTTTTTTTTTTCTGAGATGGAGTCTCGCTCTGTCGCCCAGGCTGGATGGAGTGCAGTGGCACAATCTCGGGTCACTGCAAGCTCTGCCTCCCAGGTTCACGCCATTCTCCTGCCTCAGCCTCCTGAGTAGCTGGGACTACAGGCGCCTGCCACCACGCCCGACTAATTTTTTGTAGTTTTAGTAGAGATGGGGTTTCACCATGTTAACCAGGATGGTCTCGATCTCCTGACCTCATGATCCGCCCGCCTCAGGCTCCCAAAGTGCTGGGATTACAGGTGTGAGCCACTGTGCCCGGCCTACTTAATGTCTTATACATTGGCTAGGATGTGAGAATAGTATCATGATCTATTTATTCATTCAACTAATATTTAGTGAGTACCTAGCCTTTTTCTGGCTCCTAAGCTGCACTAGAATTAGATCACTTTTTCAATTTCAGAACCCCATACTTGTTTGAAGTGCTCATCCCTTTTTTGTAATTAGGGTTCCCATACCATTATTCAGGCTTTTCATAGGGAAGATTTTTTCTTTTTTCTCTTTTTGACTTTATAATCTTTACACAGAACCACAGAGCTTGAAACATTAGATATTCACTAGATGTTTTATGAATGGTGAAATGAATGATGCAGTGTGTGGTCAAAGACATGTCTGTGGAGAAAAGCTAAGAAGGGTGACGTTTATTTAGTATAAATGCACAGCATTTCTACCCACTAAGCTTCATCAACCTGTAACAAAAGAGCCATAATTTTGGAGACCAAAAATATTATGAGCAGTACAGCTGAAATGAAGGGATTGTTATGCCAGGGAATGATCTGTGTAGTGAAAAGCAGCAGGAAGCATGGAGGTTTTGCCGAGAAATCTTATCTTTAGACTGCTTATACGTAAGATGTTTATGCCTCTCTAAGCACTGAGGACAGTCTAAGGAACAAGATCATAATAACTTCTCTTTCAACTAGTATTGCATTAACTGTGAGAATGGAAGGCAGAGTAGCTACACAAATGAAACTAAAGATTTAGATGTTGACTTGTAGGCAAAGTCCAAATTAAACAATGATAGGGTTGTTTAATGTGGAGAATTATGGGCAGAAGTATCATTTTTTAACCTAATTGTCAAATTATATCTACGGTTATCTCGAAATTTAATTTAGAGATTTAAGAATATATATAGTAATACTTTGCCTTCATTATATCTAGTTTTCAATGTGTATGCAAAATCTTTAACAACCCTAGTTATCAATTTGTATATAAAGTGATTGGGGAAAGAAAAAATGGATTCTCTAGTCTAGAACATTGGTTTTCAAAACAGGTCCCTTCTATTTCTGTTGGGATGAGATGTCTTAAATAAACAGGGCTCCAAAGATTTCATGAAAACTACTGCTGTAGACTAATTTTATAACTAAATAAGTTTTTCTGAGTAATAGTTCTTGGATTTGTGCTGGCTACCTTAGGTCATTCTATTCAAGCTGTAAACAAGATGATATTCGTGGTCCTTTTTAAAGAATACTTTGGAAGCTTAGTAATAATGGGCCAGGAGGAAAATATTTTCTAAAAACAGTGAAGTCTGCCCATGGAACCCACATTAAGGAAGGAATTCAAAGTAAATGTACTTTAGGTAACTGAATCAGCTTTTAATCTGCTTCAATAAAAATAAAAGATTTGTTAAATAGAAAAGGCTAGGGCATTCCTTCTTGATTAGTACTAGTGGGTAAATGTTGTATAATGGCCGAACTAATCCTTGCCTACTCAAAAATAATGAGATGATAAATTCAAACTAATTGTATTATTTTATTCCTTAAAATAGAACGAATATACCCTAAGTATTTATGAAAAAAGTTTCTGGCACATCCATCACATATAAATTGTCTCATGAGTGTAGGAAAAACAAGTTTTGTTTTCATTAGTTATGGATAATTAACATATAGTTACTTCACTGTGCTATCATTATAGCTTTCAAAATTGTAATAGAAGAAATTGCACACTGATACTATACTAGATAATAAAATGAACACAAAAGCATGCATCACTCAGGCACAGGATTTTAAATTAGTCAGGTATGATATTATGTTCAATATATAGGATCTGGAGATATAAAGAGGAAAATAAATAAAGAATTTTCCAATGTAATATTATTCATCAGAGAGAGCCTAGACAGTCAAAAAACAATATAAATAATACCTAAGGTTGACCAGGAAACTAAATAGTTTGTCCCCTAGGCTTCAGTATTTAAAAAAAAATTTCCTAAGTGACGCCAACCCTCTTTCATAGAAAAAAAATGTCAGAAGAAATCAGATATCCTTAATGAGCAGTGGCTCTGTAGCTATATTTGTATATTTAATCAGACCTTTCCTCATTACAGATTATAAATAAAATATGAAGCCTTTGCTTCACGCATTAGTAGCCAGATGCAACAATGCATACATAAATTATTTTTCACTTTATACATTGAATCCAAGCACGATAAGAAAGAAGCACCTACTATTTTAAAAGTCTCTAGCCTTATTTAATCTAGGCTACTGTGAATAGGAGAAAAATAGTTGCTAAAAGATGGCAGAGTTCACTCAATCCAATGAAATTTTAAAACATCTCAAAGTAAACAAAGCCAGAGAGTTCATCAGCTAATGCTGCGTCATAAGGTTATCTGCATATTAGGTGATCCCAGTGGCTACAGAACTGACTTTCAGAAACACTAGTGCTTTGAGAAAAAATGCGAACCATATTATGACTTATAAGATAAATACTGAATGTGTTCTGGGACCAATTTTCAATTTTAACTTTTTCTAATAACATTATCTCAAAGATTCTCATTTCCACTTCTCTATCACTTAGTAAACATTGTACTGTCTTCAATAGCAATCATTTTATGACTGAAAATTATGATTAAACATATTATCATTTTATAATTTAACAGTTACTAGCACCCTTTATATACATATATTTGTATACGTAAAGACGCTAGCAACTGTTATATATTTATACTTAAATATTTATTTTATATATTTAAATATATACTTACTTATATATTTATATATGTGTACGTACACAGATGCTTCTTGACTCACAGTGGAGTTATTTCCTGATAAACCTATCATAGTCAATAATATCGTAAATCAAAAATACATTTAATGCCCCAATAAACCTATTGTGAAGTCAAAAAATCATAAGTTGAACTGCCATAAATCAGGAACCATCTATGTATAACATACATATATATTATATATAACATATATATACACACACACATATTATATGTAACATATATATATATATATATATACACACACACACGCACATATCAAATCATATAAGCAGCTCCCATACTCATAATACAATGTGCCAGGCTCCCTTTTAAATACTTTATATATATAAATTAATTCTCTCAACAACGCTGTGTAATAGGTACTATTATTATCCCCTTTTTACTAAAGAAGAAACTGAGAAACAGAGAGGTTAAGTAACTTATCCAAAGTCATACCTGTTGTAGGTAGTGAGACTAGGATTTAAACCCAGGTGGTGCAGTATCAATACCCACACTCCTAACTATGTATAAAGGATATTTTAAGAGATTATAATTTCATTTGCAAATAAGGGAAGGACTTTAGTAAATAGTTAGTGACCAGCCAACAACAACAATAAAATGCTAACGTAAGGCATCATTCATTCTTAAATATCTGACCAGGAAATGACATGGTATGTGTTTGCCTGTAGGTATCCTTGTGTCCTTTTGTTTGTTGCATGTGAGATAATCCTAAAGGCAGGTTAGGCAGCACTTTTTAGAAGAAGATTAGTTATTTTTTAAGGAACATGTACTGTCTATCCATTTAGTTGAGAACTGGAAATTTTTTTTTACTTCCTAAAGGGATTTATAGACCCGAAGTATCTTTAGACATTCTCTTCACTTTGACATTTTTCATGTATTCAAATGTTTATATCTCTCAGGATTTAGTAGTCCCCCTACATTTCTTATAAATTCTTCCCTACTCTTAGTATGTGGATCAATCTTTTTCTCATTTTAGTTCCTATAGCACATATAGAATGTACCATTCATTGGCAAGTAAATGTTTCTTGTCCTACGAAATCTTCTTCTGTCTCATTTTTAAATCTCATTTCATAGTTTGAATTCTTATCTCTTTAGCTTGACTGAAAACTCGGGGCTTCTACTTTTTTCCATAATGCGTAGAATATTATAAAATAAATATTTGTTGATACGATTTTCATTAAATGAACTTGGACAAGCTGTTTATTTAGCAAGTGCGGAATTCATGCCACAAGGAGACTAAGTTAATTATCTATGATTGCACCAATATTTTTTAAATGATCAAAGATTACATTTCCTCACTCTTGATATAATTCCTATCTGCTTATAGATCATGCTACTTCTGCATTTGCAAAATAATTATCAGTATCTCAGTCTTTTCTTCACTCTGTACTACAAAAAAAGAAAATATATTATAAATCCAGTTAATAAACATTAAATGAAAACAACAATGATTGAACTTAGCACGGAAATCTGGTGAAACCTACAAATGCCACTTCTATGTCACTATTTCATAGAATCATACTAAACAATTTTGCCTATTCTTTTTCTTGGGATGTTTTAATAGCCACTCATGAAGTTGGATGTATTAGTCAGGGTTCCCTAGAAGGACAGAACTAACAGGAGACATATCTGTTTATTTATAGATATAGATTATAGTTATTTTTATTTATAGATATAGATATCCTATTTTATATATATATATATATCCTGATAGAGTTTATTAAGTATTAACTTACATCATCAGAAGATCCCACAATAGGCCGTCTGCAAGCTTGAGGAGGAAGGAGAGCCAGTCCAAGTCTCAAAACTAAAGAACTTGAAATCCAATGTTTGAGGGCAGGAAGCATCCAGCACGGGAGAAAGATGTAGGCTGGGAGGCTAGGACAATCTCGCCTTTTCAAGTTTTTCTGCCTGCTTTATATTCACTAGCAGCTGATTAGATTGTGTCCGCCAGATTAAGGGTGGGTCCGTCTTCTCCAGCCCACTGACTCAAATGTCGATCTCTTTTGGCAACACCCTCACAGACACACCCAGGATCAATACTTTGCGTCCTTCAATCCAATCAAGTAGACAGTTTAACCATCGCAGTGGGCAACTAACAGTTATATAACATTCTCCTCCATTATGGTAAAATTTCTAAATGAGAAGTCACGCCTTCCTCCTTCACTAGCACATGGGAGCCTGGTGCCTAATCTAAAGGTGTAAATAAATATTTATTAATATCAAGTGCAAAATGAATGAATAAAGACCATTTACATTGAGAACTTCTTCATGTATTATTTTTAGTTCCTACAGAAATGCTCTGGGATGGTTGCTGTTCCCATAAAAAGAAACAAACTGAGAGAGGTTAGCTGAGCTGCCCCTGGTTACAGAACCACTAGAATTGAAGTCTGTTTGCATTCTACAAGCTAACCTCACCTAGCGAATAATAGCTCCGAGCAGCCCTCCGTCTTGGCTTTTCCAGTTTGTATTTGAGTCCTTCTGCAACCACCAACTATTTTTTCTTTAAACTTCACAGGTGTCAAGAGCTCACATTTTGTATTATTTTAGGTAGTTGTGAAAGGATGTATTTTGTTACAAAAATTTAGTTGAATCTGTAAATATTCTGGACGAAATTCTTACAGTACAAAGATCCCTAACCTGAGAGTGTAGTCCTATCTGACACTGCTACTATTTAGTCATAAGTCAAGCTTTATATTGAAAATTAGGAAAAGAGAGCCAGGATTGTGTACTTTTGTAAAGAATTAAAAGATATTTAATAAATACTTGACAGATAAATGAATTGATAAATTATACTGAGGTTCTGGCCTTGAAACTATTTGACTTATGAGATGACTTATTACTGGGTCAATAACTAGTGAACTACCTAACGTAAAAGATGGTTATTTTATTTTTTACTTTATTAGAATACTTGTACTATATATTCAAATTCTGAGCAGGAATGTTAAACATTTCTCCATTTATCAGGTCTAAAACTTACAGCTAAATGAACTGAAAGAAGTATTTCAAAATCACACTTAGGAATAATGATTCCTGAAAGCTAAATCAAAAAGGATTCACTATAATGAAACAAAATAAGTAAAAATTGTTCTTAGGACATTAAATCTAATTTTTCTTTCTTTTAAACTACATTATTAATTTGTGTAAGTTTGGGACATTAAATTGAAAATATACTGTATATACTAAATTAGACATACTAAATATGCTAAATTGAAGATATACTAAAAATAAAGGACATTAGGTTTAGGACATTAAATTTAAAATATTTTAAAATAAATATACTAAAATATACTAAATTGAAGATATATTAAAAATAAAAGGTACCTAAAATTGTGTAAAATGGTGGTTTCATTTATGTCAGAGCATTTGAATGTGAAATTTTGTTCTATTTGATGTTACATTATTCCTTCTCATTCTTATTTTATATCCAACAGCCTAACCTTCAGTACCAAATGACCCTCAGGCAAGAAAGATGGCACAGCAAAGTAATTTGTAAAGTAAAACTAACTTTTAGTGAATTCTTTAAGGAATTCACTGCTTCTTAACATTTAAAATTAACCTTTTCATGTCACACATTATTAAAAGCAAATCCAATTAAATTACATAGCTTCTGTAAAGTAATTTCCCCTTGGACCTAGGTGCCATTTCTACCTCTCCAGGGAAAATGATATTTTTAAAAATTAAAATTAATACCAAACTTGAGAAATTATCATTTTAAACCTGTGTAATGCAAATATATATTTTGTATTTGAAACTATAACTTTCTTACACATCCATAATTTAAACAGCTCCCTTTAATCAAAAATACCTAAGAACATGACCTAATTCCCCCATACAACCAAGACATGGATAACCATCAATGTAGAGAGTATCTAAAGAAATCTTATAATTACACTCTTATTTTTTAATATTTAATTTCTCTTTTCTTTTGGAGTCATTTTTTTAAACAAGAGAAAGTAGGTAAAATAAGATGATGAATAAAATGAAGAGATGGTAGCAATAAAGTAATGAAGGAATTAATGTATTTTAAGCCATATGAAAGGCATGATTTTCTTTAAGTGTTTAATATAGAGTTAGTAGGAAGATTAGTGGTTGCAGGGTTACAAAGAAAAGAGGGATGAATAGTTAGAGCATAGTGGATTTTTAGGAGAGTGAAACTATTCTGTATACTACTATAGTAATGGATATATATTATCTACATTTGTCCACATCCACAGAATGTACAAAACCAAGAGTGAACACTAATGTAAACTATGGACTTCGGGTGAAAGTGATGTGTCAATGCAGGTTCATCGATTGTAACATATGTACCACTCTGGTGCTGGATGTTGATAGTGAGGAGAATGTGCATGTGTGGGGGCAGGGGCTATGAGAACTCTCAGTAATGTCTGCTCAATTTTGCTATGATCCTAAAACTTCTCTAACAGAGAAAGTATTTTTTTAATATTAAAAACAAAGCAATGAATCCTAAGAGATAACGTTGGTCCACAGACACTTTCCCCTTACTCCCTTTTCTGGGTCCTGAGTAGGAGATTATCCTGAGATACAAAGGATCTCATATTCCATACTTGAGATCCAGAGCAATGCTTACTTTGCAACAGTCATGCATCCTTCTAAATAGCCTTTTAAAATTTTAGTCATTTGTGTTCTTGTTTTCAAATCAGTGCACATTTTTGAAAGCACTAGCTATGTACTAAGTTCATACCTTGTGTACAGGAAACATGCTCTACATGCAGTTAGAATACCTGAGTTTGAGCTCAGATTTGGCCCTCCTTGGCCTGCAGTGTGGAATAAATCCTTTAAATGCCCTAAGCCTTACTTTACTCATCTCTAAAATGGGGATAGCATCTACTCTGCTAACCTCAATAAATGAAGGTCAGATGTATAATGTGTCTTGTCTATAGGAAAAGCACTGAACAAGTGGATGTTATCATCATATTCCTAGTATCAGAGATTGTGTCTTATTTATTGTTTTTCATCTCTTAAGGTCCTTGGTACAATGCTTATCATGTAGACAGTACTTAATGAATAATAAAATTAGAATCATGTCACATGTTCATGGATTGGGAGAATTAATGTTAAAATGTCCATATTACCCAAAGTGATCTACAGATTCAATGCAATCTCTATCAAAATGCCAATGACATTTTTCACAGAAATAGAAAAAATATTCCTAAAATTTATATGGAACTACAAAAGATTCCAAATAGCCAAGGCAATTTTGAGGAAAAAAAAGCCCAGAGGCATTACTATCTGATTTCAAAAGCCATTACAAAGCTAAACTGCTCAAAACAGCACTCTACTGGCATAAAAACAGACACATAGACCAATAGAACAGAATAGAGAGCCCGTAAGTAAACTCACACATTTATGATCAATTCACTTTGATCAAGGTGCCAAGAACACAGATAGGGGAAAGGAGAGTCTCCTCAACGAATGGTGTTGGAAAAACTTTATATCCAGACACAAAGGAATGAAATCAGACACCTATCTCACACTATATACAGAAACAAACTCAAAATGGATTAAACACTTGACTTGAAACTGTAGAACTACAAGAACAAAAAGCAAAAATAGACAAATGGGATTACATCATACTAAAAAGTTTCTGTGCAGCCAAAGAAACAATAAACAGTTAAGAGCTAATCTATGAAATGGGAGAATGTATTTGCAAACCATACATCTGATAAGGGGTGAATATCCAAAATATAAAAGGAACTCAAACAATTGAATAGTAAGAAAATAAATAACACACTTTAAAAATGGGCAAAGGATCTGGACAGACATTTCTTATAAGAAGACATAAAAATGGTCAACAAGTATATGAAAAAATGCTAAATATCACCAATCGGGTAAATGCAAATTAAAACCACAATGAGATATCACCTCACATCTGTTAGAATGGCTATCATAAAAAAAAAGATAAATGTTGGAGAGAATATGGAGAAATGGGAACACTTGTACACCGTTAGTAGAAATGTAAATCAGTACAACCACCATGGAAAACAGTATGAGGATTTCTTAAGAAGCTAAAAATTGAACTACCGTTTAATCCAGCAATCCCACTACTATCTGCCCAAAAGAAAAGAAATAATTATATCAAAAAGACCCTGCACACCTATGTTTATTGCACCACTACTCACAAAAGCGAAGTCATGGAATTAACCTAAATATCCATCGATGGATGATTGAATAAAGAAAATGTGATATATATATATAATGGAATACTGTGCAGTCATAAAAAAGAATGAAATCATGTCTTTTGCAGCAATGTGGATGGAGCTAGCGCCCATTATCCTAAGTGAAATAACTCAGAAAGAGAAAAATTAAATACTGCATGTTCTTTTTTTATTTCTTCATTTTGTTTTTTCATAATTATGTTCTTTTTCAAGCTTTTTTATTATTATTATTATACTTTAAGTTTTAGGGTACATGTGCACAATGTGCAGGTTAGTTACATATGTATACATGTGCCATGCTGGTGTGCTGCACCCATTAACTCGTCATTTAGCATTAGGTATATCTCCTAAGGCTATCCCTCCCCCCTGCCCCCACCCCACAACAGTCCCCAGAGTGTGATGTTCCCCTGCCTGTGTCCATGTGTTCTCATTGTTCAATTCCCACCTGTGAGTGAGAATATGCGGTGTTTGGTTTTTTGTTCTTGCGATAGTTTACTGAGAATGATGATTTCCAATTTCATCCATGTCCCTACAAAGGACATGAACTCATCATTTTTTATGGCTGCATAGTATTCCATGGTGTATACGTGCCACATTTTCTTAATCCAGTCTATCCTTGTGGGACATTTGGGTTGGTTCCAAGTCTTTGCTATTGTGAATAGTGCTGCAATAAACATACCTGTGCATGTGTCTTTATAGCAGCATGATTTATAGTCCTTTGGGTATATACCCAGTAATGGGATGGCTGGGTCAAATGGTATTTCTAGTTCTAGATCCCTGAGGAATCGCCACACTGACTTCCACAAGGGTTGAACTAGTTTACAGTCCCACCAACAGTGTAAAGTGTTCCTATTTCTCCACATCCTCTCCAGCACCTATTGTTTCCTGACTTTTTAATGATTGCCATTCTAACTGGTGTGAGATGGTATCTCATTGTGGTTTTGATTTGCATTTCTCTGATGGCCAGTGATAGTGAGCATTTTTTCATGTGTTTTTTGGCTGCATAAATGTCTTCTTTTGAGAAGTGTCTGTTCATGTCCTTCGCCCACTTGTTGATGGGGTTGTTTGTTTTTTTCTTGTAAATTTATTTGAGTTCATTGTAGATTCTGGATATTAGCCCTTTGTCAGATGAGTAGGTTGTGAAAATTTTCTCCCATTTTGTAGGTTGCCTGTTCACTCTGACGGTAGTTTCTTTTGCTGTGCAGAAGCTCTTTAGTTTAATTAGATCCCATTTGTCAATTTTGGCTTTTGTTGCCATTGCTTTTGGTGTTTTAGACATGAAGTCCTTGCCCATGCCTATGTCCTGAATGGTAATGCCTAGGTTTTCTTCTAGGGGTTTTATGGTTTTAGGTCTAACGTTTAAGTCTTTAATCCATCTTGAATTGATTTTTGTATAAGGTGTAAGGAAGGGATCCAGTTTCAGTTTTCTACATATGGCTAGCCAGTTTTCCCAGCACCATTTATTAAATAGGGAATCCTTTCCCCATTGCTTGTTTTTGTCAGGTTTGTCAAAGATCAGATAGTTGTAGATACGTGGCATTATTTCTGAGGGCTCTGTTCTGTTCCATTGATCTATACCTCTGTTTTGGTACCAGTACCATGCTGTTTTGGTTACTGTAGCCTTGTAGTATAGTATGAAGTCAGGTAGCGTGATGCCTCCAGCTTTGTTCTTTTGGCTTAGGATTGACTTGGTGATGCAGGCTCTCTTTTGGTTCCATATGAACTTTAAAGTAGTTTTTTCCAGTTCTGTGAAGAAAGTCATTGGTAGCTTGATGGGGATGGCATTGAATCTATAAATTACCTTGGGCAGTATGGCCATTTTCATGATATTGATTCTTCCTACCCATGAGCATGGAATGTTCTTCCATTTGTTTGTATCCTCTTTTATTTCATTGAGCAGTGGTTTGTAGTTCTCCTTGAAGAGGTCCTTCACATCCCTTGTAAGTTGGATTCCTAGGTATTTTATTCTTTTTGAAGCAATGTGAATGGGAGTTCACTCATGATTTGGTTCTCTGTTTGTCTGTTATTGGTGTATAAGAATTCTTGTGATTTTTGTGCATTGATTTTGTATCCTGAGACTTTGCTGAAGTTGCTTATCAGCTTAAGGAGATTTTGGGCTGAGACAATGGGGTTTTCTAGATATACAATCATGTCTTCTGCAAACAGGGACAATTTGACTTCCTCTTTTCCTAATTGAATACACTTTATTTCCTTTTCCTGCCTAATTGCCCTGGCCAGAACTTCCAACACTATGTTGAATAGGAGTGGTGAGAGAGGGCATCCCTGTCTTGTGCCAGTTTTCAAAGGGAATGCTTCCAGTTTTTGCCCATTCAGTATATTGGCTGTGGGTTTGTCATAGATAGCTCTTATTATTTTGAGATATGTCCCATCAATACCTAATTTATTGAGAGTTTTTAGCATGAAGGGTTGTTGAATTTTGTCAAAGGCCTTTTCTGCATCTATTGAGATAATCATGTGGTTTTTGTCTTTGGTTCTGTTTATATGCTGGATTATGTTTATTGATTTGCATATGTTGAACCAGCCTTGCATCCCAGGGATGAAGCCCACTTGATCATGGTGGATAAGCTTTTTGATGTGCTGCTGGATTTAATTTGCCAGTATTTTATTGAGGACTTTTGCATCAATGTTCATCAAGGATATTGGTCTAAAATTCTCTTTTTTGGTTGTGTCTCTGCCCGGCTTTGGTATCAGGATGATGCTGGCCTCATAAAATGAGTTAGGGAGGATTCCCTCTTTTTCTATTGATTGGAATAGTTTAAGAAGGAATGGTACCAGTTACTCCTTGTACCTCTGGTAGAATTCTGCTGTGAATCCATCTGGTCCTGGACTCTTTTTGGTTGGTAAGCTATTGATTATTGCCACAATTTCAGAGCCTGTTATTGGTCTATTCAGAGATTCAACTTCTTCCTGGTTTACTCTTGGGAGGGTGTATATGTCGAGGAATTTATCCATTTCTTCTAGATTTTCTAGTTTATTTGTGTAGAGGTGTTTGTAGTATTCTCTGATGGTAGTTTCTATTTCTGTGGGATCGGTGGTGATATCCCCTTTATCATTTTTTATTGCGTCTATTTGATTCTTCTCTCTTTTCTTCTTTATTAGTCTTGCTAGCGGTCTATCAATTTTGTTGATCCTTTCAAAAAACCATCTCCTCGATTCATTAATTTTTGAAGGGTTTTTTGTGTCTATTTCCTTCATTTCTGCTCTGATTTTAGTTATTTCTTGCCTTCTGCTAGCTTTTGAATGTGTTTGCTCTTGCTTTTCTAGTTCTTTTAATTGTGATGTTAGGGTGTCAATTTTGGATCTTTCCTGCTTTCTCTTGTGGGCATTTAGTGCTATAAATTTCCCTCTACACACTGCTTTGAATGTGTCCCAGAGATTCTGGTATGTTGTGTCTTTGTTCTCATTGGTTTCAAAGAACATCTTTAATTCTGCCTTCATTTTGTTATGTACCCAGTAGTCATTCAGGAGCAGGTTGTTCAGTTTCCATGCAGTTGAGTGGTTTTGAGTGAGTTTCTTAATCCTGAGTTCTAGTTTGATTGCACTGTGGTCTGAGAGATAGTTTGTTATAATTTCTGTTCTTTTACATTTGCTGAGGAGTGCTTTACTTCCAACTATGTGGTCAATTTTGGAATAGGTGTGGTGTGGTGCTGAAAAAAATGTATATTCTATTGATTTGGGGTGGAGAGTTCTGTAGATGTCTATTAGGTCCTCTTGGTGCAGAGCTGAGTTCAGTTCCTGGATATCCTTGTTAACTTTCTGTCTCGTTGATCTGTCTAATGTTGACAGTGGGGTGTTAAAGTCTCCCATTATTATTGTGTGGGAATCTAAGTCTCTTTGTAGGTCACTCAGGACTTGCTTTATGAATCTGGGTGCTCCTGTATTGGGTGCATATATATTTAGGATAGTTAGCTCTTCTTGTTGAATTGATCCCTTTACCATTATGTAATGGCCTTCTTTGTCTCTTTTGATCTTTGTTGGTTTAAAGTCTGTTTTATCAGAGACTAGGATTGCAACCCCTGCCTTTTTTTGTTTTCCATTTGCTTGGTAGATCTTCCTCCATCCTTTTATTTTGAGCCTATGTGTGTCTCTGCACGTGAGATGGGTTTCCTGAATACAGCACACTGATGGGTCTTGACTCTTTATCCAATTTGCCAGTCTGTGTCTTTTAATTGGAGCATTTAGCCCATTTACATTTAAAGTTAATATTGTTATGTGTGAATTTGATCCTGTCATTATGATGTTAGCTGGTTATTTTGCTTGTTAGTTGATGCAGTTTCTTCCTAGCCTTGATGGTCTTTACAATTTGGCATGACTTTGCAGTGGCTGGTACTGGTTGTTCCTTTCCATGTTTAGTGCTTCCTTCAGGAGCTCTTTTAGGGCAGGCCTGGTGGTGACAAAATCTCTCAGCATTTGCTTGTCTGTAAAGTATTTTATTTCTCCTTCACTTATGAAGCTTAGTTTGGCTGGATATGAAATTCTGGGTTGAAAATTCTTTTCTTTAAGAATGTTGAATATTGGCCCCTACTCTCTTCTGGCTTGTAGAGTTTCTGCCGAGAGATCTGCTGTTAGTCCGATGGGCTTCCCTTTGTGGGTAACCTGACCTTTCTCTCTGGCTGCCCTTAACATTTTTTCCTTCATTTCAACTTTGGTGAATCTGACAATTACGTGTCTTGGAGTTGCTCTTCTTGAGGAGTATCTTTGTGGCATTCTCTGTATTTCCTGAATCTGAATGTTGGCCTGCCTTGCCAGGTTGGGGAAGTTTTCCTGGATAATATCCTGAAGAGTGTTTTCCAACTTGGTTCCATTCTTCCCACCACTTTCAGGTACACTAATCAGACGTAGGTTTGGTCTTTTCACATAGTCCCATATTTCTTGGAGGCTTTGTTCGTTTCTTTTTATTCTTTTTTCTCTAAACTTCCCTTCTCGCTTCATTTCATTCATTTCATCTTCCATCACTGATACCCTTTCTTCCAGTTGATCACATCGGCTTCTGAGGCTTCTGCATTCTTCACGTAGTTCTCAAGCCTTGGCTTTCAGCTCCATCAGCTCCTTTAAGCACTTCTCTGTATTGGTTATTCTAGTTATACATTCGTCTAAATTTTTTTCAAAGTTTTCAACTTCTTTGCCTTTGATTTGAATTTCCTCCTCCTGTAGCTTGGAGTAGTTTGATTGTCTGAAGACTTCTTCTCTCAACTCATCAACATCATTCTCCGTCCAGCTTTGTTCCGTGGCTGGTGAGGAGCTGCATTCCTTTGGAGGAGGAGAGGTGCTCTGCTTTTTAGAGTTTCCAGTTTTTCTGCTCTGTTTTTTCCCCATCTTTGTGGTTTTATCTACTTTTGGTCTTTGATGATGGTGATGTACAGATGGGTTTTTGGTGTGGATGTCCTTTCTGTTTGTTAGTTTTCCTTCTAACAGACAGGACCCTCAGCTGCAGGTCTGTTGGAGTTTGCTAGAGGTACACTCCAGACCCTGTTTGCCTGGGTACCAGCAGTGGTGGCTGCAGAACAGCGGATTTTCGTGAACCACGAATGCTGCTGTCTGATCGTTCCTCTGGAAGTTTTGTCTCAGAGGAGTACCTGGCCGTGTGAGGTGTCAGTCTGCCCCTACTGGGGGATGCCTCCCATTTAGGCTGCTCAGGGGTCAGGGGTCAGGGACCCACTTGAGGAGGCAGTCTGCCCATTCTCAGATCCCCAGCTGCGTGCTGGGAGAACCACTGCTCTCTTCAAAGCTGTCAGACAGGGACATTTAAGTCTGCAGAGGTTACTGCTGTCTTTTTGTTTGTCTGTGCCCTGCCCCCAGAGGTGGAGCCTACAGAGGCAGGCAGGCCTCCTTGAGCTGTGGTGGGCTCCACCCAGTTTGAGCTTCCCTGCTGCTTTGTTTACCTAAGCAAGCCTGGGCAATGGTGGGCGCCCCTCCCCCAGCCTCGCTGCCGCCTTGCAGTTTGATCTCAGACTGCTGTGCTAGCAATCAGCGAGACTCTATGGGTGTAGGACTCTCCGAGCCAGGTGCAGGATATAATCTCCCGGTGCGCCGTTTTTTAAGCCCATCAGAAAAGCGCAGTACTGGGGTGGGAGTGACCCGATTTTCCAGGTGCCATCTGTCACCCCTTTCTTTGACTAGGAAAGGGAACTCCCTGACCCCTTGTGCTTCCCGAGCAAGGCAATGCCTCGCCGTGCTTCGGCTCGTGCACGGTGTGCTGCACCCACTGTCCTGTGCCAACTGTCTGGCACTCCCTAGTGAGATGAACCCGGTACCTCAGAGGGAAATGCAGAAATCACCTGTCTTCTGCGTTGCTCACGCTGGGAGCTGTAGACCGGAGCTGTTTCTGTTCGGCCATCTTGGCTCCCTTCCTCAATACTGCATGTTCTTACTTATAAGTGGAAGCTAAACAATAGGTGTATGTGGATATACAAAGAGAAATAATAGACACTAGAGACCACAAAAGTGGGAGGGTAGGAAGAGGGAAGGTTGCGAAATTGCCTATTGGGTACAATGTTCACTATATGGGGGATGAACACACTCAAAGCCCAGGCATCACCACTGTGCAATATATCCATGTAACCCCTGAATGATTTAGGCCCAGTCAAGCCTTCAGATGACTGCAGCCCTGGCTAACATTTGACTATAATCTCAGGAGAAACCCTGAGTCAGACCCACCAAGAGAAGCTGCTTCTGCATTCCTGACTTTAAGAAAACTTTTGAGATAATAAACATTTATTGTTTTAAGCTGCTAGATGTTGAGGTCATTTGTTACGCAGAAATAGATAATAATACAATGATACTATGATGTAAAATAATGTTCTATTATGAAAAAATACTATAAATGAAGAATTTTATATTATCTTTATATTTTGTCATAGAGAGTTTGGCAAATAACTGGGAGCTGTTGCTTATAGAACCATTGAAGACTCAAACTGAAAAGATACAATTCTGTTAGAAATACTGGGAAATATAAATGGGCCATATAACTTGATTATAGTCTTGGCCTTGACCCTGCCCAGTGCCATAATGCATCCCACTTGGGCAGTTCATTATCATATAATTTTGGACCAGCCTGTCTGGCACTCAGTAAGTATTTGTTGAATGAGGGAACAGTAGGAAAGATGAGGAAACATGTAGGTCTGGGGAGAGTACAGACACCCATGTTAGAGACTGCCTACTTTGTGCCAGACATTGTGATGAGGACTTCCCATGAATAAACAAGAAAGTCCTTATATTATTCAAGACAATTGATTTGAAATTATCTGCTGTCTAAAACTCGTTTGGGAAGAGGGTAAATAGAGAAAAGGAATCTGCTGGAAATAAAAAATATGTACGTATCAGGCAGAACAGAATAATTAATTACATGAACCAAATAATCCTAGAAAGTGTGCCTTGTCAATATCTCAGATGAAAGATGTTTTCCTAGACTATGTGATTTTTTTACAAAGAGAGAAAATCTTAGTAAACCAGTATGAATTATTGGAATGCAGTTTTCACCAGTGTTCATTTAAAACTACCTGATGCCCAAAACAATTGCGTGAATGAGACCTGCTTGCTTACCAATATGTTTACTATTGCCAGTATAATTATAGATTTTATTTTAAAGTTTGTTCTTTATGTCAGCATACTGACCTAAAGTAAACTTAAAGATAAAATAAAATGATGATAAATTAAAATTTAAAGGTGTCAAAATATGTATTGGTTATATACAAAAATATTTTATTTAAACTGTGTACTTTAATAATTTAAAAATGTGTATTCCATTAAATGTCACCCCCATTAGGATCTAAATATATTGTTCGAGTTCTGAAAGAAGAAATTTGGGCTTAGAAATAGACCCAATTATTTATTTTCACATCCTTTCTCTTCTACCTTCAACTGGAGTAACAAGCATCAATCTTGCTACCTATGGGGACTAAATATTCATCTATCAAATGACTTGAACCAGGTGGGGTGGCTCACACCTGTAATCCCAACGCAGGAGGCTGAGGTGGGAGGATCACTTGAGGCCAGGAGTTCAGGGCTGCAGTGAGCCATGATAGTGCCACTGTACTCTAGCTTGGGCAACAGAAGGAGACCTCAAGCCTAGGAAAAGTTAAAAATTACAGAATACACAAATGACTAGTTTAGAACATTTTAGCACACTTTTGAATTTTGTTGTTATACAACTCATGTTCCTTCTAATTCCAAAATCTATATACCTTTGAATTATACCTTTTACCCAAACAATAATGGCAATTAAAGATAAATAAATAAATGGAACTATAATTTATATAAAGATTCGGAGCACACATCTTTTATATACCTGGTTCAGCTCAATCATATGCCATACCTAAGAGGAATTCCATGGCACACAAGCGGCATTCACAGAATGACTTTCAGAACTGCCCCTCCATATCTTGCTCTTTTTTCTTGTTATCCCATGGTGGACCTTCGCCTTGTTCCCTGGTTTCCTTGCTGCTCAGCTTGACACACTGATTGGCTGCCATCCCAGTTCCAGATTCTGGCTTGATTCCCAGAACTCAAAATCACAGCTCTTCTTCCTAACTTCATCCCAAATTATTAACTGATAATGAGCTCTTTTTTGGAAATGACTCCCGCCCTGCTGCAATACACACTGTCCTCCTGGTGGCTGACATTTGGCTGCGCCTGGCCTGCAGAGTAGGGATGAGATATTGTTGGTTTGGCATACTTGCATATGTGAGAGATTATCTACCCATGATCTGCATGCTGTTGTTGGACCTGTCCAGTAGAAACTGAGCCTCTCGCCATCTCCAATTCTCCCTATATACCAGTCTCTAAGGAGATCCTGTTTCTGAAAGTGCCTGCTTCAATATCTCTCTCAAGTGACAGATCATTTACTCTCAGTCAAACCCCTAGGTCTGAAGAGTAAGAACAATCACATATTCAAATATATCCACACCTAATTTAAAAAAGTGAACTTCTGCCCCTGAAAAGAAAAGTTAAAACAAAACAAAAAACACGAGTTGGTAACTTGGCACCCAACATTAAATTTGCCAATTCCTGATACACACAAACACACAAACAATCCAGAGTGCATTGACTCAAGCAAATGAGTGATCGAAGCTCATAACAAAATCTTAGGCCTTCAATTTCTAAAACCTGGCAAGAACTACCTGGAAAGGAATATGTAAGAAAAATGACTCTGAGATCAATATTTTCCCTGTGTGAAAGGAGCTTGTATCCAAGAATCTATAGAGGGAAAACAACAACAACTTTGCACTTGGCCTGTGAGTATTTTATCTCTTCACATGGCCACATACTAGTATATCCCAAAGAAGCTGCAGGAAATGAATGGAACCTGGCAGTTAATGCAATTCAGCTTATCCATTCATTCAACAATTATCTTTTGCACCTCCACAATGTATGGGATCATCAATGCCCTTGCGTTCACAGAGCTTACATTCTCCTATAGGAGACAGACAGACAAGAATCTAATAAATAAGTTTAGAACACTTGACAAGTAGTGCTAAGTGCTGAGGAGAAAAATAATATAGCAGGTTAAAAAGGAGTGTTGCAAGTGCTGCTACGTTAAACAGTGCAGCTGGGGAAGAACTTTCTTAGGCACTGTCATTTGATCAGGGGTCAGAATGAGGCAAAAGAGAGGGAGCTGTGCAGAAGTGTGCAGGGAATTTCAGGCAGAAGTAATGAAGAATGTGAAAGTCCAGGAACAATATGCTGGGAGAGTACAAGAAGTAGAAGGACCAGAGCACCTGCAACAGAGAAAGAAAGGTAGGAAGTGGTAGAAAATTATTTCAGAAAGGTAGCCAGAGGCCAGATAACATAGATCCTTACAAGCTGCAATAAACGCTGCAGTTTTGGGGTTTTTTTCCAAGTGCCACTGGAAGCCACTTTGAGGAGACTCAGTTATTCCTCACAATGTTTCACTTGTCTGTAATAGAATTACACACTCATATCCTTTGCCATATTTTGTTGCAGTGTCCTCCTATGGAAGTAGAGTATATTTCCTCATACCCTTGATGCATGTGACTTGCTTTGGCCAATGGAATGTTAACAAATGTGACTCAGAAGCCTTAAATATGCTCACATTGGCTGTCTAGGCTTCTGGAGACATTACCTTGCTTAGCATCTGATATGGTTTGGCTGGGTCCTCGCCCGAATCTCATCTTGAATTGTAGCTTCCATAATTCCCATGTGTTGCAGAAGGAACCTGGTGGAAGGTAACTGAATCACGGGGACAGGTCTTTCCCATGCTGTTCTCATGATAGTGAATAAGTCCCACGAGATCTGATGGTTTTGCAAAGGGGAGTTCCCCTGCACCTGCTCTCTTGGCTGCCACCATATAAGATGTGACTTTGTTCCCCATTCACCCTCTGCCATGATTGTGAGGTCTCCCCAGCCATGTGGAAGTATGAGTCAATTAAACCTCTTTCCTTTATAAATTACCCAGTCTCGGGTATGTCTTTATTAGCAGTGTGAGAACAGACTAATACACCATTCGAAGAAAAGGCTCCAGGTCACTGCCTCTTCAGCAAGGGCTCCAGAATAAGATTCATGGAACACACCAGAACCCATCGTAAAGCGTGAAGCAGAGCTACCTCAGCTGCCTGTGGGTGAGAAAAATGAATGCTATTGTAAACCACTAAAAGTTATGGCGGTTTGTTAAGCAGAATTGTTGAAGCAAGAGCTGACTGATACACCACTGGAGGGTTTAAATTGAAAGAATAAAGTAATCTGAATTGTATTTGTAAGTGACTACTCTGACAGTTGTTTGGAGAGTAGATGGATGAAAGACAAGAGGGCATACAGGAGACCAGGGTGAGAGTGATGGAGTTGACAGGATTTGTTGGTGAATGGAATGTAAAGCGTGTGATAAAGGATAGTTACAGCATTGTCTTATAGCAATTTTATCATCCAGCTTGTTATTTTATCCATCTCACCAGCCCAGCCTACGTTTCTACGCATAAAAATCAGCATATAAAGAGTGTTTTTGTCAATTGCTATATATCCAGGGACACAGTTGCTATAGCAGCCAAGCAATTCTCTTTGGGTAGCCCAGTAGAAACCAAATCATCTTGAAGAATCCTAGAACTTAATAGGGAGATTTTTCTCCAATGCCATATGACAAACTTCATAATTGTCTTTTTAAATTTTTTATGAGACTATCTAAATCAGAAGGCTCTGGTCTGGCACATAATTATCTCTTCTGGAAACAACTCTTTTCCCATTGTGCAGTTTGTGCTGAGGATTTCATAGAGGTTGCCCCAGGCTTACTCTGCCAGATGCTAGGGCATCTCTCTCCTCCACTGAGTGAGTGCTTGTCTTGCAGTTTCTGCAGTGGCACAGGCCAGCATATAATCCTCATTCATAGCCAGGGTTTTGCCGCAAATCTTTATGTTCTCTCCTAGCTTAGAAAACTAGGTCAGAAAATACTGGAGCCTCCAAGACCACCTGGCCTCACTTTTGTCACTCTTCTTTCAAACTAAGAGCCACACTAGGCCAGGTGCGGTGGCTCATGTCTGTAATCCCAGCACTTTGGGAGGCCAAGGCAGGCAGATCACAAGGTAGGAGTTCAAGACCTGCCTGACCAACATGGTGAAACCCCGTCTCTACTAAAAATACAAAAATTAGCCGGACATGGTGGCAGGCACCTGTAATCCCAGATACTCAGGAGGCTGAGGCAAGAGAAACACTTGAACCCGGAAGGAAGGCGGATGTTGCAGTGAGCCCAGATTGCGCCACTGCACTCCAGCCTGGGTGAAAGAGCGAGACTCTGTCTCAAAAAAAAAAAAAAAAAGAAAAAAGAAAAGAAAAGAAAAAGAAAGAGCTACACTAGTCTTGGCAGTCTGATCTTCTCTTTCTTTCTCATATGGCTCAATCTAATACTCATCTGACTAAAACCAAGATCTCCTACCTGCTTAAAGTGCACCCACATCAAAGCCCTCTGCACTTGGATGATAAATTAATAAAGATAGCCTCCAGATCTCCTACCTTTATAATCCTCTGTCTCCCATAAAAGCTTTAGTCTCCAACTCCCATGGTCTGAGTGACACATTGTCTTATCATGCATCCCACCATCTGCATGTACATATAATATAACCATTTTTGGTGCTTCTGTGTCTATTGTGTCCACAGTGGTCCTTGACAGGCATTTGCATTCCTCCTCCTTGAGGAGATCAGAATGACAGAGGAACAGTAGTTGCCAACACTGATGAACATATTATTTCCATTTCTAATATCCACTTTACATCAAAGTACTTTTTTACTATTGTTTCTTATGGCATTCAGAATCATACAAGTTTTTAAAATGGCTAATGCCGACCTGCCAGCCCTGAAAGGAGTTGGTCTGGTAGATCAATAAAGAACTAACATCTAAAGCTCATGGCTGCTCATAGTAGACAGCATTGATGTAGGAAATGACAGCTAAACATTCATTAAACTTATTAAAGTCCTAAGGAACTCAAGACTACTCAAAATAAATTGCATTTTGCCACAAAGAATTTAAGGAGAAATCTCCTAGGAAAGAGTTTAGAATTGCTTGCAATCTGTAGGAGGGATACATTTCCTTCATTTTAAGAGGAAATCTCACAAATGTTCAAGAGAGATTTATTTTCTGTAGTTTCTATGCAGCCAGTAAGTGCAAGGAAAATAAGATGTCTTATTGGTAAGAAAGCTGTTACTTGTTCTTGTATCCTTGGTAAGTATGAACATGCAATACCATAGGACAATCAAATCCATATTTGGAAATGCTAATTAGGCACAAAATCTGCACAATACAATCACAGTCTTCAGGGAAATGATTCCACCTCATGCTACATACATCATAATTCTCTTTTCCTTCCTATTCAGGGAAACATGTACCACGTTGCTTCTTCAATTGCATTGGAGGTCATAAAGGACAGCTGCCCTTAAATGTCTCATCTAGAATCACAAGAATCTAGTTAAACTAAAAGGCTAATGTCACGGGTTTTCAAGACAGCCTAACATTCTCTGGAGACAATGTCATTAAGACATTATTGTTATATCTTGAATGGGAGAGAAGCGATGGATTCTTCAACATCTTTGGAGAGAGTTAAACTATATTTGTCTAATGCTCTCTTGAGTTAAAACTTTGGGGAGTTAAAATATGTACGTAAGTTTCACTATTAATTCCCATAGGACCTTGAGCAATTTTCCATTCTTGACTTCCGTGTATTCATTGCCTCTGTGGTCATGAGCACTGTGTGTTTGTGCTCTTTCTCAATGAGGAGGTCAGAATAACGAAGGGGTGAGGAGGTGCCAAACCCTCTGTGGACTTAATTTTTCTACTCCTGGTGACCTTCCAGGTACATTTGTCAGCAAGCATCAGGCTTTCCACTTCATTTTCTTGTGCGAAAGAGTTCTGCTAGTTCATAGCCTCCTTTTTCTGGGAGCAGCATCTACCTGCCTCCCTTCACTGAAGATATGATGCTGCAGAAAACATGATTTATAGGTTAAGGAAATAAAAACACATTGATTTAATAATGTCAAAATTTTCTTTTTTTACAGTCCAAGAATATTTTGGAATCTAGTTTTTTGTAGCCATTTAAAAATTCAAACTGCCTTTATTTCTTGGACTCCAATGTGCCCCTGATTCCTCAAGTGAAACACAAGGACAGGAATAATGACTCAGCTGTGAGAGGAATGAATGAGTTAGTAGATGAGAAGTGCTTTGAACCAGCAACTACACTTTGAGGAATACATTATATAGACCTAAAAGCACTAGTAAATAAGAATATATGTATAAGGATTTTCAGGGCAACATTGTGGTAGCAAAAACTAAAATGGGAAAAAAAAATATCTATCCAACTGTGTATTGTTAAACAGATGTGGTACATACACATTATGGAACGTTATGTGGTCGTTTTAGACATCTCTTGGGTATCATCTCACATACTCTCAGTCCACATTTTACTCCAGCTGTTGCTGTAGCAACCAGCTGCTTGCAGGTATGATTGACAGTACTTTGCTTCAGCTGCATGGCACACTTCCTGCTTTGTTCCCAGAGTCTCTCTGTCAACACTTTGGGACATTTGTAAGTATTAACTCAGCCATTCCAACACACATGCAAACCTGAAATTGCAAAGGGCATGGGACATACCCTGGCCACAAGAGAGTGGGAGCCCATAGGTAAGTGGCTTCTCTTCTGTCCCTTGGGCGGATCACTCCAAGATGCATTCTACACTGCTCTGCAAAATCCCCAGCTTCCCACAGTTCTGACCAGCTTCATATTGAGCCACTCCTCCCCTGTTCACTCTTTCCCTCCTCCTCTGCTTCACTATTTCCAGTCCTCCACTCTTCGTCCTTAGGATCACTTTCTAGAATAAACTGCCTGTAGACAAGCCTTTATCTGAGATCTTTTGTGAGAACCCAGGCTGAAACAGGAGCGATTTTTTAAATGAGAAATACGTCTATCTGTTGACCTATAGAGCTGTCCATAGTGAATTGTTAAAGGACGAAAACAAGTTGCAAATTCATGTGTGTTATATCATTTATAAAATCAAACAACACTAGCATGTCTTTGTATGTGTTTCTATAACCTTGGAGTTGTTGGCATTGGTCTCCTTAAAGAGGTAGAAAGACATCATTAGCTTTTTCTTAACAATTTTTTCCTTGTTTCACTAGCTGCAGTGAGCACATATTAATTTCACAGCTTAAAATACTTGGAAAGGAAAATGGTGTTTAAAATTAACATCAAATCAACATCCCAGGAAAAAGAACTTCCAACCAGGTGATAGGGAAGATAGCTGTAATGCTGGATTTGAGCTAAAGTAAGAACTCTATGATATGCCTTTTTATTAACCTAGGATAAAAAAATAATTTCTTGCTTGAGTCTATATGTGTAAAACAAATACCCAAAACTACACTCACAAAACTAACATCCTGTTTGTGACTGAGGTACACTCCAGAGATCCCTGAATGAAGAACGAGCTACTCGATAAGGACTCAGAATGATTAATAGATAAGCAAATGGAAGTCTGTTCCTGCAGTGTTTCCAAAGGTGTATACAGAAGGGGATCTGTTGCAGAACGAGACCAGTGATTCTCAACAAAAGCCTGATTAAAAAAGTGAAGGATTTCACAAAAGAAATTTTAAAACTGCAGCAAGGCTAGCATCAACTTCAGTATAAACCTCTTCAAACTTTGAACAAAGAAGCCAACAGTAAGATTCCATAAAAGATTTTATAAAAAGTTAAAATCTAACTGAATAAATTTCCATTTGCCTCATTTGTTTTTTATTCCTTTGTGGGTTCATTATGAATTACTTTAAGGGAAAGGGCATTGACTATGGATGTGTTTTAAGGAAAATGCTTTTGAATACCTCCCCAAAAGGCTGGATCTCATCTGGTTCCACTAGTTAAATATGCATGGGGTGAGGAAGAAAATCCTTCAAAATCATAAGAGACAAAAGAATGAAAGAAATATACTCTAAAAGACACACTCTCTAAAGAAATAGTTGACATCTGACATCCAATTATAAGTTTATTTTTCTATGGCATAAAATAAGTGATCCACGTAGTCAAAGACTGTGATGCAAAAGCTAAGATGATTTACCACTTTGATGGCTAATTTTATATGTCAACTTTGCTGGTCCATAGTGTCCAGATATCTTATCAAACATTATTGTCGATGTTTCTCTGAGGATGCTTTTGAGTGGGATTAATATTTAAATCAGTTAACTCTGAGTGAAGAAGATTGCTCTCCATAATGTGGGTGGGCCTCATCCAATCAGATGAAGGCCTGAATAGAACAAGAGTGACCCACCAGAAGCAAGAAGGAATTCTCCAGCAGACTGCCTTGTACTTCAACATCGACTCTTCCTGGGTCCCCAGCCTGACCGCTTTTGGACTGGAACTGTAACTCTTTCCTGAGTCTCTAGCCTGCCAGCCTCCCTCATCAAATTTTGGACTTGCCAAGACTTCACAATCATGTGAATTAACTTTTTAAAATAAAGAGATATAGATATATGCATAGATAGATAGATAGATAGATAGATAGATAGATAGATAGATAGACCGATGATAGATAGATTCACACACACACACACACATATCATATTGGTTTTGTTTCTTTAAAGAACCATGACTGATACAACCACAATATACTCAAATGCTCTGGAAAGTGAATTGTGTCATTAATATAATCAATGTTGTTTATGATAGCAAATATTCACAGAATGCTTACTATGTTCCGGCAACTGTTCTAAGTGCTCTACAAGTGAACTCATTTATTCCTCACAATAATGCTAATGAAGCTGTCATACCCATTTTACAGTTGAGAAGACTGCAGCACAGAGAGCACATTGTGCAGTGTTAAACTGCTTAGTAAATAGCAAAGACACTTATGAATTTACAGGTGGTGTTTCATAGCCCACACTCCTACCAGAATGTTGATTGTTCCCAAAGAAACAACTCTGTGTAAAGACACAATCCTAAGATAAAATTTGATATCCTTGTTATCTTGAATTCAAAACCTCCAGGTTTCCAGCTAGGAATGATCTTCTTTTCCTTGTGCACTTCTATTTTCCTGTCCCCAGACATGCAGAACTTTCACATTTCCGGGCAGGACTTTTGCTATAACCCTCATCTTAGTTCTGACTTCCCTTGAAGAGCCTTCACTGTGAACCTTTTACTCTTCATAAGTGGCAGGGGAGAGGGGTAAGTAGCTGCATGTATGGAATCACAAGCCCAAGCTCAGTCCTGGCTCTGACATTAGTAGGCCTGTGAGCCATGGCAAGTAACTTAAACTCTCTTAGTCTCTTTGTTCATAAGTGGAGATACTAATATCACCTACCCCATTGGGTTCTTGTGAGGGTAATAGAAGGTAATGCTAGGAAAATACCTAAAAGAGTGCCATGCACACGAACAGCACACAATAAATATTTATCATTTTCCAGCCTCAAAATTTACCAGCCCTGAGCCACATTTCCTCTGGGTCCTGTTATTCCTTTGACACACCAATTTGATAGCGTTAGCCTCAGAAAGGAAGATCTTACTTGCAAGGAAACATATTTTCATTTCAGGCACTTTCTAGAAACAAAATGCCTTATCCAATGATAAGTCTCTTTATACTGATATATAATAGGCCTTCTTTTGCCTGCATCCTGCTTACCACTCCGAAGAGCTCACTTCACAGGAGAAGTGCCCACTATTCTAGCAGAGTATAAATTCCTAGGGAAAGTATAACAGTAGAGTAGAACATGCAATTCCCACTGTGGAAAGTAAATAAAAGGAATGCAATTGGACAATTCCATTTAAATGGCACTTTAGACTCGATTGTATAAAATTAAGCTCATGTGGTTTTTATATTTGTCTATACTACTCTTATTTGCACAGGGATGGAAATTAGAAACTCACATATATCACACATTCTTCACTGTCCCTTGTAATTTCATGATTAATCATGAAATTATGTCCAGACCACATATTTGCTGTTACATTCCTTTCTCCTATACCATTCACACTATAGACATCCTATCCACCACTAAACAGACCTTTAGCCTCCATTTCAAATCAGCTTGCACAACACTATACACTGAGTTTTCTGATTATTACAACTTTATACTTTGTAGATAGCTAATAAAGATGCAAAATAAATCTTACCTATAGACATGCAAATATTCCGTCCAGTGAAGAGACACCCTCCTTATTCTAAAACAACAGTTCTGCCTCCATTTGCACATTCATTTCAATATTCCTAATCAATAAATGTGTCTGTTCTTTGAGTTTTTTTTAACATTTGCCTTTTCCCTTTATTATGAGTTACATCATCTATTTTGTCAGACAAAAGTTAACATTTATTTCAATAGTTCAAAGTGCAAATATAGCAAGTCAGTTCACAAAGTTTCAAGATACAGTTTTAATGACGATGGAAATTTGATATATAAAAATGAAAGGGTAAACAGCAGAAATAAAGCTTCTCAATTTAAAAAATGCAAGTAACTTGAAAAATCTTTAGACTAAAATACTCCACTTACATCAAGAAATGCTTTAATTCATAGATGCCGGTACTGCACTGCAATCAAAAAGGACTCTTCAAAGAGAGAATCAGCCCAAACTCTCAACTCCAGATAACAATGGAAGTTCTTGGTGTTGGTTTTTCATGATTTGGAAGCTTCAGTCATTCACTACTATCAATTGATAAGGTTCAATGCATGACATTTTGATCTTTAGGCAAATTCTAAATGATGTTTAAAGTTAAATATAAAGCCAACACCACTATTAAGGATTTTCTGAAATGACCGGTATATATCTAAAAGATTTTTCAAGTTACTTGCAGTTTGGAACTTTGTATAGTTATTCAACATGTAATTATACATTTTATTTTATTTCATATAAAATGCATATAGTTCCACGCATTTTAAAATGGTTCTTGCAGAGGATTCTCAGGTGAAAGTGAATCTACATACTCCACAGCCAAGGATGCTGAACTAAAGATGCTGACACTTTCATTTGTTGCCATTTTTCAAATCTCTGCAGACAGCCTTGTAATTCTGGATGGCCATGAGGTGACTGCAGGCCACCGTCACAATATCATCTTTAATGAATGTTTATTTTCTTCCTTGTAGGAGAGTCATGATTTTTATCTTTCTTTAAAAATTGTTTTTACCACCATGTTGATTATCCATTTTACAAACTTTCATTGCCTCTTTTGATGATTAAGATCCAACTTCTTAAATTAGCCTTCAAGCTTCTTTACCACCTGGATACACACTATCCTCATTTTTTTTTTTTTTTCATTTTGCCCTTACACACATATTCCCTTTAGCTGGGAGGACATATTTGCTGTCCTGAGCATGTCTTGAGGTTATGGCCCTGCCTCTAGATTTAGTTTATTGTATCCCTCCCGGCCTTTACCTCCTGTTCATCCTTCAGAAACAAGCTCAAAGCTCACCACTTCTATTAAATCTTCCAAAACAACACCACACAAATTCCTCTCTCTGTAAAGAATTTAGTGCTGTCAGTATTCTCGTGAGACTTTATAAGTTGTTCTTGATTTCTTTAAATATACATCTTTTTGTCCCAGGGACCATATACTTGTATTTTCCGTATCTGTCAAAGTACCTAGCCCAGTGTCTTGTACCACCCATCAATTAGTGGTTAAAGAATTAATTGACAAGACATCCTGGGGAGAGAAAAAGCGTCTGTCACATTCCCAGTCTCCCACAATACACCAAAAGTATGTGCTCCACTTATAAGATCTAACACTTTTTATAGTTTGGAAAATTACTTCCAAAAAGCTAGGTGAAAGATACACAAATGCAATAATAGCTTGATTGCACTCAACAGGGAATGCATCTTAAATTCCTAGTTATGAATATTTTAATGAACAGTATCAATAAAAGCCTCTTACCCCTTGGCCTATTTGTGATGCTAAGGATTCAGTTAGTAATAACAGCTCTTTAAGGACAGAGGGAACTCAGAATAATTTATTTTTTCAAGAGCATAAAAGGCAAAGATGCTCCAGGGAAGTTTTATAAGCCACTTCCAAAAAGAAATAATTACTGAACTTACTGAAAGCATGGATGAATTGTTAGTTTTACTAAAAATAGATTTTAATAGATTTGTCCATCTGAGAAAAGTACAGTGGACAGACTTTTAGAAAACAAAATACTTGCCGTTAGAAAGAATTCCCAAATTCTACAAAATAACGGTAAGTGCTCAAAGTACACTTGAACATTTTGAGGTTTTTTTGTTAGTGAAGGTTGCACATTTAAATGCAGAAGCTTTTGCCATCTTTGTTGTCAATCCCTCCCTCATGGTCATCTAGAAAGCTGAGTAATTAGAAGTGTGAAATTAGTAGCCAGAGTGTCCCAACTTCGCCACTTGTGTAACCCAGAGCAAGATAGTGACACTGTCAAAACCTCAGTTTACTCTTCTATAAAATAGCGGTACTGATAGCACCTGCCTTGCAGGGTTCCTATGAAGATTAAATGAGATAATGCAGCTCACCCACTGAGCACAGGGTGCCACATGCTACTCTTAGAAGATGTCAGTTATAATTGTTGCTTCATCATATATCATAGGAGAAAAAAAGCAAAATGCTTCTGAAGAAGTAATGATGACTATTGAGACAGATAATATGTACAAAGCCAGGAGTACTTCAGAATTTAGAATAGCTATAAGATTTAATGAATCAAGTGAAGTGAGAAGCTTCCAATATGAATCGTAACATAAATTTTGAAGCAATTCCCCTTATAGGCAGTTCTACCCTGTAATAGAAAATGGTAAAATACAATGTACTGAAAAATAGTCAGATCTCCCTCAGGCTTTGGTTCATTATAAATTACCTTATTTAATGTACACATGTTATAAATTGAAATCTCTACTGAATAGAGCCCATTATAGCACTGAATTTATGGCAGTGGACTTTAACCAAAGGTTTTTAATTACATGAAGTTCCCTAAGGACCTTCCTAAAATGTGGCTACAACTATCACACATTCCTCTCTCTGAAGGTGGCATGCTAGGGAAAGCCAAATATGGTATGTGATCATAGAATCATATAACTTATCAATTGAAAGGTTATTACAGAACTTATACAATCCCTCAATTTTTCAGCTAAGGAAATTAAGATCTTGAGAATCTAAGTGTCTAGTAATGTTCTTTAGTGTACATTTTTTAAAAATGCAATTAAAGGGATGATCCCAGTGAGAAATGACTTATTGTGACACATCTTCAGCAGCTTCTTAGCAGAGCAGAACAAGCCAGGGATGTTATAATAACTCTGAGAAAGACATAACAAAATTCTCAGTAGGCACGTATCTAGTTTTCTTCTTAAAACTTACAATGCTGGCTGCATGGTCTTGTATTTTCTCACTTCCCTTTTCTTGTTCAGCCTTAGCTTATGGCCTTTTCATTTAGAGTGATCCTTACTTACTCAGATGCTGAGTCATTCTTGGTAATGGCAAATCACACATGCTCAGCATAGAACCTATTTCAACATATCTGGAATTAAGCTTGTGGCTTTAAATTTTAGAGGAGCCCTGGTTTCACAGGTCTTCACTAATCACAGCTTTCTCATCACTGCCATGTTTAGCTCATGTAAATATTCTTGTCTTAATAACAAAAATAGTAGCAACAACAAAAGTCTTTTGTATGTTCATATAATGGCACAGATAATGATAATTAACCTCATTGATTACTATTACATACCCGGCATTAACAACAAACCCTAAAAGATAGGAGCACTTAGCTCCCCATTCACAGAGATGAGAAAACTGAAGCAGAGAGAATTAAGTAAAATTACCCAAATACATAAATTGGCATCCAAGGAGTCCGGTTCCAGAACCTATAATTTAATCTTTACATTCTCAGTCCCTGAATCCTTAACCACTAGATTCTACATCACATGATCCTCACAAAATATTCTGAACTAAGTATTTTTAGCTCTACTTTATCAGTGATTAAACTGAGATTTAGAGAGGTTAAACTTAAAAAGGTTACATAACATGACAAGTATGTGGGAGAGCTAGGATTATAATCCAGGTCTAACTGATTGTAAAATCTGCACACCATTTAAATAGCTGTGCTTTTCAGGCCTTCAGCAGCATTATCCCCTGAGACTAGAACACAGGGGCACTGGCTCAGCTTTTGGGGGCTTCATCTTGCTCCCTATAATCCTGGTCTACTGAGAGATCATCAGGAGCCACATGGCCATCTACCCAATACTGACTGTGGCTACTCTTGCAGATCTTTTCTGCCTTGCCCTCTGTCCAAAGAGTTCACCACCCTTTGAACATTATATGTTGGATGCTGGCCACCCTTCTGATGCGAACTCAGCAAAAAAGCCAGGTTAATTCCCTCAGCTCTGGCCCCAGTTTTCTGTCCTCTTCGCACAGAGGACCATTATTCCTTCTGGTCCAAATTATTGAAGTCTCCACATTACAGTCTCTGTATATTCCTGCTTTAAAATAGTTTGATGTGATGCTATTTATCAATTTTTATTTTCAGGTATATATGTGTGTATACGTTTAAGTATATGAGTTATATTTTTGTTTTATATATTTTAATAACTCAGGAAATCTAGAACACTTTAAGCAAAACATACTTAGTGATGTAAACATGTCTGCAATGTAGTCTTAAAAACTACTTGTTAATCTTCATCGTAGTGTCTTAGTACTTTCCTTTGTATATATAAACATTTGGCTGTATTGAATTAGATTTTTCCTAAGTCAAATGGGTGCCAAGCTACATTGTTTAACAGGGTATGATGTTTTATCCTTAAATCAATAAGCTGTACTTTGAATTAGCCATGTAAAACTAGGTAAAGTAATCCAGCTGTGTCCATTTCACTCGGGGCTGACTTACCAATGCTTTGAATTGGACATGTCAGCTCCACTGCTAATGAGCAATTGCCCTTGAAAACAGCGTATACTTTTTTATTGTCCTTGGGAATATTATAAGAGCAGAATATCAAGAATTTCGCTCAAGAGATAGCAAATGCCTTTAAAAAATATTTAACATGATTTTCATGCATATTTGTGGAAAAATGAGTAGTTGATATAATATTAAAGATAACTGCATAAAATTAGGTGCTGCCAAAAGTGAGAGAGGCAATTTGTTTATTTTTATGTACTTCATTTTCATCTATGTCATATTCCTAATGCAAGATTTTGTTAAACACAAAAAATAATTGCTTTGAACATTTAATATATAATTTCCTTTTATGTGAGCAGATTAAAAACATTTAAGCTGATGCCAATTCTAGAAGTGCTAACTGCTGAAAATATGTTTTCAACTAGACATCATTAATGTCTACAGTTCTAATGAATCTTTTTCTCTTAGATCCTGAGAATCTCTGAAAGTTATGCATTTTGCCAAAGTTGCAGTTGTTAAGAAGGAGCAATTGTTGCCTACTTATTCTTGTAAACACATTTTGGCATAATTATGTAATTGTAATCCAAAATTCTCTTCTCTGAACCAAAACTACCTTTAAGAGGTAGAATGTATAGAATTCATCACCATCTTTATTGCTTTGACTCAATATAATTCTGTCAGACATTCAGCAAAAGACTTTAAACTTACTCAGACGAAAAAGTATGCTAATTTGCTAGTAGATACCAATCGCATCTTTTTCCTTAAAGTGAAGTATTGTTACTTTCAGCAACATCATTTGTAAACTGTGGCTGTCACCATGAGAGTATTAATTCTTTTTTAAAAAAATTAATGTGATATTTATATTAACATCAGAGGGGCCCAATGTCCAGAACAAAAATAATCAGTGAGTAAATACAGGAATTCTGCTTCTACCACCAGGACAATTGTGAGTAATGCCTTCCACCCTGAATCCACTCAAGGGTAAGGCAGGAGGTATTTCCTGAGCCTTGAAGCAGCAGTGAATAAAGGAAACAGCCTCAGCTCAGAGCTCAGGTTCTGAACTGAACTGTGTACTGTTACCCGTGTGGGTAACATTGGTCAAATTACTTGTGCACTCTGTCTCAAATTATTCTCCATATAACAGGAATACATATGAAACATGTAGCATATTTCATAAAGTCCTAATTCTGATACTTACCTCTCTCCAGGTTTTTACCGATCAAAGCACCAGGATCCTAACTGTAAAAGCTAGATGTTGGATCATTCCACTTAGGATTCTATATTTAACAATATCTATAAGACTTTGAACCTTATAAAAATGATAAAAATGGTTATTTAAATTAGCTGGCCCCACATTTTATAATAAAAAATACATCCAGTTTACTGTGCAACCTCACGTATACGTGTGTGCAGGGTACTTGTACATTTTCCTAAGGGATTTGATGGTATATTTTAACTCTTGGTGCTATGATGGATTCTATTTCTATACAGCTCTTGCAGTTCATTGTTCAGCTAATTGGGTCCGGGGTATCTGTTTTCTTCCTCCTGGTTTCTTATTAATGGGTTTTAATTGTGCTGCTATACTCAAGTGATTTCTGCAGAAGGTTTCACTCACATAATATGCCCCAGCCTGCTGGCAGTGTGGTGTTCTTGTTCTTTAGATCAGGATTGACGTCTTCTGCTTTAATCATTGCATTCTCTCTGCAGGACCGATATTCTTCTCTATGCTGTGGGAACTTTACAACAGTTTAAACTCCTTTAGGCAAAAAAGTAATTTCCTGTTTGGAGCATAAAATGAAATAAGATCCATATGCTCAGTGTCATTACACTTTCAAGGTAATACATTAAATACTCCTAGCAACAGTACTTTAAAGTCATTTCTATTTAATCATTTCATGTTCACTGTCTCCTAATGGTCATAAAAAGTTACATCAAAAAATCCTGGTGAGATAATATTTTATTGAAAGTGCAAAGCTTTTCATCTCATCCAGAAGGACATTTAATGGTGGGTAACAGAAAACAAACAGGTTATGGATTTTTAGCAATTTGAGGGAGGAGAGGATAGGAGGTGTAGGGGTAGAACAAGATGGAGTAGCTTAAAGAAAGGTGTTAAAAACTGGAGAAAGATCGTTTTGAAAATCAGCCAAGAAGAAAGATGCTTTATTTTTTCAATGCTATTTTAGAGGTAGGTCATTGTGAGAGTGACTCTAAAAAATTCATTAATAATTCTCTGCTTATTCCTTTAATAATTCTCTCTTCCTTCAAGATTTTTGAAAATTTCAAGACCATCTACAGTATTATTAATTTCTCGCATAGTCAATATGTGGATGCAAAAACCTAGCAAAGACTCTGTCAGAAAGATAAGCAGTTTGTAACCAAAAACAGTAGCTTGCAGTGAGAGTGAGACCATTAACTGAGATGATTTTGAAGAAACGTATGCGATGATAAAGAGCTTAGTGACAATAAGTAGTCTCCAAAGATGGAAAATGATTTGTACATGAAAAATACTTAATATATTCTGTTGCATAGCTCTCAAAATAAAGGCATCATAGGCAGGCTTGAGACAATTTGAAGTGAATTGACTAACGTACACCTTCAGCTTCCCCTCTACTCTTTTTTTTTTTCTTTTTGCCTTATACTCCAGTCACAGTTTCTTCTTCAGTAGTAAACTCTGAACACAAGTAGTTTGTGCCTTTGCACATGCTGGAGAAGTTCTGTCTACCTTTTCCACCAATCTAAACATTTCTAATTCTTCAAGACTCTGCTTAAATACCACTTTCTCATCATCTAAACTAAGTGATTCTTCCTCTACATATTCTTGTCACTGGACCGTTATCATTAGCTCTTATGCCATTCTGCCTTTGGCTTTGTTTTCTGTTTACAACTTTGCCTTTTCCAGATCTTGAAAAAATATTTAACTCATCTTTGTATATTCATAGCACCAAAGAAAGTGCCTAATAACTAGTGAGCATACAATTTTATTTGTTTAATCCAGAGTAATTATTGGTAGTTTGAAGTATTAGAAGATCAATTTAAATGTCTATATATCCATTTCAGTGGTATAGCGTTTAGTTAGTTCAGACTCCTCTCAGAATTATTCTTCTTCTTTTGCTTTCTAGAGATAAAAGTAACTGTCCTGCATTACATCATGGAACTGTTGGGAGGATCACATGAGATAAGGCATGTGAACGTTTATTATAAGCTGCAGAACACTATACAAAAATAGCATCTTGTTTTTATGAAATGAACCGTGATTTGACCACATTATACAAGTGTTTCCTTCTGTGACTATGCAATCTTTTCTTTACCCTTCCATTATGGCTTTTAAAAAAATGGCTGCAAATTCTTTGACATTCCTCCCACGGAGAAGTGAAGTCTAACTCTAACCCCCCCCTACCACCATCACCCCTGGAATTTTGTCTTGGCCTAATGACTTTCTCATAACTAACACAATGCACAGAGCTGATGCCATGTGTAATAAAAGACCAAAAAGCTTCCACTAGACTTCTGGAATAATTGCTCTCTGGATGCTTCCTCTCAAATTCTTTTGATCATGTTGTGAAAAGCTTAAGCCACATGGAGGTGCTTGTTGGACAGGCCTAGCTGACCCTATCCTTCAGCCATCAAGCCCACGTGCTAGACATGTACATGAAGAAGCCACCAGGTTAGATAATTCTAACCCTGGTCATTCCAGTCCTCCCAACCAAGGCCCCAGCCACTGTGAAACAGAGAAGAGCCAGCCCCATTTTGGCTTTTCTGAATTCTGAGCCCACAGAATCCATAAGCATAATAGAACTTTTGTTATTTTTATGCCACTAAGTCTTGGAGTGGTTTGTTACATACAATGGATAACTGGAAAAACTTCTTATATATAGCCTGCCAATTTTACCCTCATCATTTATTAGCTATATTACTTAAAACAGGCTGGGCAACATTGAGGTAAAACACAAGCCAACAATCTCGGTGGTTTTAAATAACAAGGGCTCATTTCCTGCCCTGCATGTCCACCATGGATCAACTGGGAGGCTCACCTCTTCATAGTTACAGAGGGACCTGAGCTCATGGATATTGCCAATCAATGAGCCAGAAGGCACACCAAGCTCTGGAGTGTCTTATCCAAGCAGGTAAATTCTAGGCCTGGAAATGGCACATGCCACTTCTGCTGATAGCTCTTTGGCTGGAACTAATGACATGGCTCCCCCTACCCAAAAAGGTGCCAGAAGTATTAGTCCTATCATGTACTCAGGAGGAAGGAAGCCAGAAGTATTTGATAAGCAGCACTAATGACTACCATATAAGGACTTTCAAAGACACTGCCCGCCTGGAATTCCCAGCCAAAACCTCTCCCTCAACCTCTGGCTTCAAATTTGTTCCTGCCATCACCTGTGTTGGCTATTCCTATCTCCCAAGGCCAGTCACTTTTTTATTGCTACCATTTCACCATTGGTGAACTATATAGATATATAATCTTTCCTGCCTACCCTTCCTGCACATTATCTGCATATAAAGTAGTGGCTGTGGTGGTCTCCATGACAACCAAGGCTATCTAGTGCTTTTGCTAAACCCTAATCATAGGGTGTTTTTTTCTCTCTCTCTCTTTCTGTCTTTTCTTTAGCAGAGCCAAAAATCAAGCTTATTTAGAGTTCATCATTCCTCTTTCACCTCAATAAAAAGTATAGCTTGGACTCACATCTCTAGCCTAAAATGATTACTCATACAGGGTATCAATTAAAGATATTTATTTAAAAAAAAAACAAGGAGTAATTGAGATGCAAGAAGGGATTTTTTCAAATGAGAAGACAGAGATAGATTTCAAAGAAGGAAAGAGAGGATCACTAAAGAAGGGAATGTTTTGGTGCAAATTCTTGACTAGCTATTAATAATAGCTCTTAACTATTAAATTCAAACTCAAACTCTTTTCACTTTCTGACTTTTTAACATTTTGAAAGTTAAGGACCCTTGTATATAAAATGGGGAACTAGAACACTTCTACTTAACTAATACAGTAATTGTAAGGATAAAATTAACTAGTACAAGTAAAAATGCATTAAAATAGAAAGAGCCATTTAATTTCAAAGTATTAGTATTACCTTTCTTTTTTCTTTCTTTTTTTTTTTTTTTTTTGAGATGGAGTTTTGTTCTTGTTGCCCAGGCTTGAGTGCAATGGCACAATCTCAGGTCACCGCAACCTCCGCCTTCCAGGTTCAAGCAATTCTTGTGCCTCAGCCTCCTGAGTAGCTGGGATTACAGGCATGTGCCACCACGCCTGGCTAATTTTTGTATTGTTAGTAAAGACAGGGTTTCTCCAAGTTGGTCAGGCTGGTCTCGAACTCCAAACCTCAGGTGATCTGCCTGCCTCAGCCTCCCAAAGTACTGGTATTACATGCATGAGCCACTGTGCCCGGCCAGTATTACCTTCCTTTTAAGCAAGCATAAGAATGATGGCTACATTTAGAGTCTCCGATAGCTCTAGAAGGTTTGTAGAAAATTTTAGAAATTCTCAACCTATAATATGGCTGAACTCAGATGTTTAAGACTTCTAGGTACAAGGTGGTGAATGACAAACATAATTGACACCATGAAATGTGATACCACAAATTAAACAGTTTGGGGGAAGTCTTGCCAAAGACTAAAATCCAAAAATACTCCTCTGCTACATGCCTTTGAGTGGTACCATTGACCTAAATAATATTCAGTAGCCTTCTATTCACCCACATCCTCCTTGAGATTTTAGCAAAAGGTAACTAACCCTGCTCGCTAGTTCTTTTTGAAATGTACCTGGTTAGAATCCCACAAAGAATTTTTCCTCTGGCATCTCCTGTAACTCTTTCTCTGATACTATTAATGAATCCTATTCTTTCTTATCTCCTGAATGTGGCTATTTCCCCAAGGTTGGATCATTGTTTTCATCCGTTAAAGTGGCTTCAAGCAACCGTGAATCAAGGATGACAAGCAAAACTGTACTTTTAGTCCTAGCTTCTGTCACACTCTCCAAACTCATGTTTTCTCCTGCCTACTAACAGCAATGTTATCAGCAGAACTAGCTAACTGATATTAAGCCACATTATATCCCTCCTCATGAGAAGAATTTTACATAAATTACCTCATTTACTTGACACACAAACCTATATTCAGGTACTAAAGTGAGCTCTATTTTACAGATCAGAAACCAAGGCTCAAAAAGAAGTAATTACCCAATATGTGGTAGAGAAGCATTCAAACCTAGATGTGTCTTACTTCAGAGCCTGATATCTTTATTCTTATGCTTGAAGATTTTTCTTGTGGATATGCTATTAGCATCTCAGAATCAAAACATCTAAATTCAAAAATTCAAATTCAAAATTTTATCCTCTCTTTGCTATTTCTGTCAATGTTATTAATGTCTTATTAATCACCTAAACTTTAAACCTTGAAATTACTGCAAACCTCTCCATATTCCTTCCACTTTCCCTCCCGTACCAATACACTAAATTCTGTAGATTAAGTCTTCCCAATATTTTTCATACCATTCCATTTCTGCTACCATTATCTTCAGCCTCATACTTCTAACAGTTCTCTCTACCTGACATCACTCCCCTGAAAACTGTTCTCAGGCTGATTTTTCTAAAGAACTGTTTCAAACATCTCATTCTCTACAAACTCAAGTCTAAACCCCTTAGCCTGATGCTGAAAGCATATGCTTGATCTGACCCCAGACTTATTTGTAAGAATCCAACTGAGCGGATCTGATCACTATTTCTTGAACATTCCTCTCTCTCTCCTGCCTTTTTGAATGTCAGAATGTCATTCCATAAAAATCTAACACCCCATATTTACTTATAAAATCCAACTCATCCTTTAGAGCTCCAATCAAATGGTACTTCCTCCAGGAGCCCAATTGGGTCTCCTCAGTAAGAGGTCTGTCTCTCCTCTGATCTCACAAATACTTGGTTTATACCACTATTAACGTGCTTATCTGATACTATTATACCTTAAGCTCTGGTTCTGTGTAGTTATCTTATTTTATACTCCAATATTAAAATCACCAGGAAGAAAATGCCTTATTTTATACACCTTTGTATTCCTTAGAGTATCTAACACAGCTCTTTGCACATAGTAGGAAATCAACAAATATGTGAATGAATAAAAAACAAGAACTTAGACATGGAACGTATCTTCAGAAAGACATAAATCACAGAAATGAACAGTTTATAAAGCTTAAATTGAGAGTTTTATATGCCTTGTACATATAGTGATATATATATATATATATATACACACATTAGTCATCAGTGACTATGTTCAAGTATTTACATTCTAGAAGCAAACTCAGGCAGAAGGGGATTTTGTTTTGGAGAGCCTGCCTTAATTAAAGAGTATTTGCTGGATCTCTAGCAGTCAACATTGGAGAGAAAGAGAAGTAGTCATTTCCAAATTTTTCTACATTATCTAATGTAACCATGTTTTATGCCAAAAAATACACGATGCCTATTTTGTGTGCAATGATAAATTAAATTATTTGGCTTATGATGGAGTTGAGAACTAAACTTCTGCAAATTTCAACAAAACAAAACAGCATTTGGAGCATCAGACATTAAAAATACTATTAACGATTCTGCACTTTTTCATTTAGTCCCCTAACTCCTCTCCTAAGACATACCATAAGTGTTCAATGTAAAGCCAGAAAAATCTATCATACCAACTTGAAAATCAAAATCAAAGTAACACATTTCATTTTCAGTTGTATTATTATTTCTTAAATGTCTTGTCATTGTGCTTATAAAACAGTAAATTCATAAAAGTATACTGTAAAACCACTGTCCTTTGAAGGAGATTTTTTCGTTGAGAATGTTCACCCTAGAAATTGTGAAGTAGGAGGGAAGCTTAGAGTTCATTTCAATCCTGCGGTTGATGCATGAATTTCTGTTCATCCCTGACAAAAGGCCGTGCAGCCTCTGAATATGTTCACACAAGGTGCCTCACAAGGTATTCTCTTTCATTATCAAACAGCGCCCACTGTTAGAAAATTCCTTATTTGTCAAAATTCTATCTCTGCTCTCTGGATCCTGAACAATAGGACTAATGTTTTGAAGTATCACAGCCCTTTAATTATTTACAGAAAATGGTCACATCTTCTCTCTTCCAAAGTGTTGTGAGACAGGGACTTTCTTTTAGTTCAGCATTATAAGATATAATTATGTCAAAAGCCCTAGACAAGATCTGGGACTATATGATTTTGATAAGACTTTGCTAAGAGTTTCGTCTGAATCTCTTCACCCTCCCACCTCAGCCATGAACACTAATCACCTGATTTTGCCCACTCTATATTGGCAAATCTACTATGATTTGTTCCTGACACAGAAAACCACCAGAATGCCCACTGTTAGAATTTCATACATTTGTCAAACTTCATTAATGTAACTGGATTCCATCTTGCTATGATTCTGATCTTTTCACTCCTACAGATTGGTTCATCTGTGATTTGCTGCTTTGAACTCCATCCTTTTGTGCCTGACCACAATTCACTATCCCTCCTTCTGTACCAGATACCTACCTATGTGCTTTACTAATATGGTAGGGTTACACCTCAAAGAATTGCTTTGTGTATTTACTGAGTATTGTCTCTCCCTCTGCTTTCTCAGTAGTACTCTGAGGCACTTTTCCTAACACATGGCTTCCGTCAACCAAAAGACCTTTACAAAGAGTGAAGTCATCAGCCACTGTTTGAGACAGAAAGATTTGGAAGTCAGTTTGAAGCCTGAATTTTTCTGCTCCTAGTAACAAGATGATTCAGAGGACACAAAAGGAGAGGGACTTGATGGAGAAGCTACTCAGACTAGGGAAAAAGTGATGGAGAAACTGAGCGTTCAAAGTTTGGGTGAGGTCTCTGAAAGGCATTGAGGGATGGACTAGATCAGGAACAGGCATGAGAAAACTCTTCTATCAGGAGGACTTAAACTTGCTACCTAGCTGTAAGGGTCATAAGAGGACCCGCAGTCACCAGCAGCCATCCATATACAGTGCTCTGAAAACAGCATCCATGTGTCTTCCCTTTGTAATAATTGAAGGGTTGTGATTTTTACTTTTGAGCATGCTTATGTGATTAGTGTATGCCTCTCTTCACCTAAGACAATAGTTCCATGATGACTGGACTGTATTTGGTTGCACTTATTGTACCCAGGCACCTAGAACAGTGACTGGCATATAGTAAGCATTCTGCAAGTGCTTACTAAATGAATGAAATATAAAAATAAATGACGCTAGGGTACAGAGATTACAAATTAGTCAAGAATAGATAATTAGCTACATGTGTATGCTTAAGTAACTATTAGGAACATTGGTATATACTTTATCATAATGTTGTTTTGGTTTTCCTCAAGTAGCTATTTTGTTGTATTCCATAATCCTTCATTAAATAATTTACTTAGGCATTGTAAAACAAACACATTTGAAGTGGTTAGAAGCATTCAACCACCTGGAGACCACCAGTATAGGGTTCGTTAAAAGACAGCTACACTGTTGGCATCCTGGCAAGAATAACTGCACACATGGTATCCAAACAAGTACTATTCCAAGTGTGGATAAGCCAAGTGTTACATAATAAGTCAGGGTCATCCAATGTGGGCTGTTCTTGACCATAATCTCTAGATACTGCTCCACAGCTCATTTTTGGAACATCTCAGTGATTTTTTTTACAGCCCGTTTGAATATTCAAAGTAATAGAGCAACAACAAAAAATTTCTAAGAAGTTGATTCCATTCCAATTTTTGTTATTTGAAGCACTTAATCAAATGATTATGTGAAAATTGCTACTTTGAATGAGACTAATTTTAAAAGGAGTCATTCAGTATATGAACTCCTTATGTTGCACCCAGGCATACCTCCTTTGACCTTGAAGTCTGACTAACCAGACGATTTTTTTCTTCTCTATTTAACAAGGATTTCTGAGAACCAGTATACTTTTTTTGGAAGGGAGAGAAAAGGACTTAAAAGCAATTATTTTCCCTCATGATGTAGCTGTCAGTACCAACCATGCAGAACAGGTATCTTTCCGTAATCTTCTCTTTAATAAAAGGTTTTTGTTTTGGCATTGCTTTGTTTATTTGTTTTGTTTTTCCTGCTCAGGTTTGAGATGGAGGAACAAATAAAGGAGAATATTGTGCTTTCCCTCCTCCATCACAATCCTTCTTACCACCTTTGCCTCAAACCCTTTCTATATTCAATCCTCCTAAAGCAACACTGTAATTTGAGAAAGAGAGAGAAAGAACTAGGAAAGAGAAGACAGAAAGTCTTATTAGGAGAGAGAGTGACTGGGATCTCCTGAGAGTTTGCACAGGCTCAGCAGGGAGGGGACAGACCTTGTCTAAGACTTTTAAAATAATTTATCCTTTATAAAAAATATAAAATCCTTTAATGCTGGACTAAAAGTAAGCCTCTTTCTCACAACACCTTTTCTGAAAGAGAGAAGATGTGAAACTTGTCTTCAAATAATTAAAGGGCCATAAGATTCAGAAACATCAGGCCTGCTATTTTTAAGAGACACATATATAACAAGTAACAGAAAGGATAGAGGAAAATGCTTATGAACTGGAAATGGATGGAAATGTAACACAAGCTACTTTTACATTTACAAGTTACATTCCCCTCTGCTGTCCTTCATCTCATTTTCCCACTGGCTTTTCTAACTCATGCCATGGTAAAAAACATGTGTCACATATCAACCTATTCACAAAATAATCTCTCTGCTCTTTAGTTCTAACCACAGTTTCCCTGAAGCCTCTGCAGTGGAGGCTGCTGATTCTTTCAAGTTTCATGAGCCCTGGTTTAAGTTCTCGTTTTCTGTGGCAAATGCTGTTTCCTGCCTTATTCCACCAGTCAAATATAAAAATCTGCTCTTCTTAGATTCAGACTAGACAGCTATGTCAACTTTTGTACTCTGTTATTTTTTAGTGATTGCCCTGCATTTACTAAATGCCCTGCATTACTAAATAGAATGAAACTGGTTCATTCTATTAAGTTGGAAAACTTCAGAGTCATACTATATTGAGAGTTTTTCTCTTATCAGTTGAGGTGTACAGCTTCTAAGGTGAACTCATGATCCCCATTTTCTGGCATTCACATCTTTGTGTAATCCACCCCCCGCCCCAACTTTAATCACAGGGCGAGCCTGTAACTTACTTCTAACCAACAGATTATGGCAAAGATGATGGGATGGCACCCTAGCATATGTCTCCTTGCTGGTTTGATGAAGTAAGAAACCATGTTGGGAAAGCTCATATGGCAAAGAACTTCAGGTGACCTCTGGGAACTGCGAATAGCTTCTAAATGATGAGAATTGACTGTAGGAGCTCAAGGCAGTTTCAGCTCACAACCAACAAGAGGCCAGAGCCCTCAATCCTACAACTGCAAGGAAATTCTTCCAGTAATCCGAGTGAGCTTGGAAATAGATTCCTCAACAGTCAAATCTCAAATGAGAACACACTCCAGCCAACACATTAATTGCAGCACTGTAAGACCCTAAGAAGAGAATCCAGCTAGGCAGTAACTGGACTCATGACTCACAGAAACTGTGAGATAATTAATATCGTCTTAAGCCACTGAATTTGTGATTTGTAACACAGCAATAGATCACTAATGCAATAATTTCCCTTTGCATTTCTTTCACAACTACCCACTCTTACAGCTTTACCCTCCATCTTGTCATGCCCTGCAAACTAAAATGTCTGAAAATTTTAGCTAACATTCTCTATAAACATATTTCCTATTTATTCTTTGACTTCCAAGTTGAAGACTTCCAGTAACTTGGTCTTCCTCAGATATCAATCCCTCTTTTAAAAATAAACAAACAAACAAACAAAAACTTTCACAAGTTTCTGTCTTCATTCTCCATGCATCTTGGACCTGGCTGATCATCTGAATTTTCATTTGATTTGTACCATTGCTTCTCTTATACAATTATCCTTTCCTGTCCTTTCCAAACCAAATCACAAAAATGATAATAGTTGCATTATCAACACCGATCTCTGCATACATGAGCACTATTCAAGGAAGCCACACATTCATATTGACACCTTTACAACTTTAGTATGCAAGAAATTGCTTCTTAATCCCAAACTCTAATTCTGAAATCTTAGCCCCAGACACTTACAACATCCTTAATAGTTTTACTTTAATTGCTCATCTTGCTCTTTGTAAAACAAATGTATTTTTGTAAGAAATATGTAGATTATCCTGATTGCTTCAAATATAGTTTTCTGAGGGATGTTTAAAAAGATATGAATATGCTATTTTGAATTACCCTATTTGGACCTTGTTTTCACTAGTAACCCTGTTTATATTTGATATACAAATTAGCATTCATAGTCTTTATAAAGCCTCATTCGCGATATATTTAAATGCCCTGGAGTTCTTGTTTCTATGATACTTTCACCTTTAACAATGTTTTCCATAAGTTATTCATAAGTATTATTACTCAAAAGAAGATGTTGAATTTAAGACAACAAGTTTGATGCAAAAATGTGAAGACCTATTAGAAGAAGATATTATATATTCAACTTACTATATGTTGTACTATCCAGTTTATTTTTTCCCAAAGAGTATTGTTCAACCAATGTGGAGAAGGATTGATGTGAAAAGGGCAACGATTACTGAAAAGTACTATTTGTTTTGAGTTAGAGAAAAGGCATTAGGTAATAAAAAATCTTTTGAAACTGAATAAAATACTTTTAAGAAAGATATCCTCATAAGATACTTGAAAAGAAGAAGTGATTAGTCATGGTTTTTCAGAGGCATTCAGTGAGTGCGGTCAGTGGGTGAGGAAATTGAACTCTCAGTCTGACTTCTGGACCACTCTTTGACATTTGGCCTATCCTTGCTTAGCTGTACTTTACCCTAAAGAAATAATAATTATATGTGCCCCCACAATATTTTCCAAAATGCTTAACATCCTAAAACAAAGGATTCTAAACAAAAAAGCAACTTGATTATAAATATGGACAGTACTATAAATATCAGAGTTGAATATTTTCTGTCTCCAAGAACAGCTTTATTTAGAAAGTCATTATCTACAGATGGCCAAGAATAAATCTTATTAAGATGTGCATGTTTGACAGCATTAACACCCATCAGAATCCAGAGTATTGCATTCCACTGAAGTGAGAGAATTGATATAGTACTTGTTGCCTATGTTAACAAACAATTCATTGAATAATTAATTAAATGGTTGAGAACATTTTTAACTCGTTAGAGTTTAACTTCCAATGGAACATAATGATCAGTGATATTATTATCATTGATCTGAGCAGTTTAACCCTAAAGCACAAAGATTTTGACCTCCAACTTTCATCTTCTCTCTCCAGTATATCTAAGGCATTTCAGCAACTTGTCAGCAGTCAGTATCACTTTTCTTTTTCTACTTTGAGGGTGGCAACTTTAATTAAGTAGTTTCTCCTCCTACTTTCAGATGCTCTCTGTACAGTAATATTTTACTTGTGATTTTCTCAGCCCTCCTACTCATTCCATTAAAGAGTAAGCCAGGAGCATACTTTCTCTGACTCAAGTTTTTAGTTTCTCCTTTGTTTCTCTTGACAGATAAAGTTCCCTTATTATATGTAACACCTATGGTAATTGCCATTGCTCAAAAAAAAAAAAATCTGTAAACTCTTTTCTAAATGTTATGAAGACATGCAGAAAGAAAAGTTCTTCACAAAATACAGATATTACTTCTATTTTTTTTTCCAGCATTCTCTGAGGGGAAAAAAATGTAGAAAGCTTTTCACCCTGATGTCTCATTAATTCTGACAACACCCTTAGAGGCAGAGAAGTGGCGAGAGCCATTATTCTTGTTACAGTGGAGAAAACGCTGAAAAACCCAAAGAGGCTAGAGATCTTGTTGAAGGTGACACACAGTTATTGGGAACCTGCAGGGAAAAAAATATACACACAAACTTTAGGCTTCTGACTCCCAGGTATTTCAGTCCGCTCTTGAGTCTGCACATAGGTATCTCTTTATAAAGTCTCCTTTAATTTGAAATGGTACAAGTAATTAATTGTGTGGCAAAAACATGTGGAGTGACTCAAAACCTAGAAAAATCCCAAACAACACCAGACAAACCCCTGCATGTCCAAACCTGCCAGTATGAAATATCACATTTCTAAGCAAATATTCAAGGCATCTTAATGTAATGGGATGCCAAATACTAAGCACTGGGTTGCTAAGAATTTCTCCCCTCCTCCTGGTGTGCTATCATTCATTCGGAGGCTGGAAACCTGAAAGCTACATTTCCCCAGACTCCTTTGCAGTTGGTGTTCTAAGTGCAAACTAGGTGCTGACAATAAGGTGTACTTATGCAAAATTTGGAAGACAGAAGTGAGGAGGAGACCATCTCTAGGTTTCATAGTTTGCCGTTCCTAGCAAACATGGTGATGGACATGTTTAGTGCTTTGCCAGTCCAGCTGTACATTGAGGTGTCCAGCGCCAAGCTTCCTATCCTAGCAGCAGCAGTAGTTGTCACTTTCCAGCCCATAGATCACAGCTAAATGTTTCTGTGTCCTGCTTATGGGACATAAATGGTGCAACTAGGATAATCACAGACTTCAGAAAGGCTCAGAGTTAGGATACAGCTGCCTTTGCCCTTTATTCACTTTCTAGTTATTAGCAACTTAATTTCCCTGGTTAGGGAAAGAGAGCTTAGCTTTCTTCTCTGTAAAATAAGAATACCACTACTTACTTTGGAGGGTTAGGGTGAATCTACCTGGAAGCATCAAGCATAGTACCTTAGCTCATTCTATCTTTACCGTCCTATCTTTGCCAAAAGCCCCAAAAAAGCAGAAATGTTATCTGTTTGGTTCACCACTCCATATATGATAGGTACTCAATAAATATCTGTTTAATAAATAAATACTCCCATCAGATGTGGATGTAGGGGAGAGGTCATGTTTAAACATGGCTCACTGGAATCTGTCCATCTTGTTACTGCGTTTGTGAGTTTGTGAAGGGGATAATTTAGAGACTGACAGATGCTTCAGTGAAGTACACTATATTTATTCCCTATCTGGCAAATATTTAGTTCTTAGTACATGGCATCTTCTCATCATCTATAGCATCACTACCATAATCATCATCAATGGAGTGCTTTTTCCATTTTTTTAAATGGTGTTTCCCCGCACCCAATGCTCCAAATTTCTAATAACCACGTGAAGAGGTGTGTGGGTTTTTTTTTTTGTTTGCTTGCTTGTTTTATCTTCTAGGATTACAAATTATTCACCTAACTCTCAAATCTTGTCATGCTTAAGCCCTAGAGCTAATTTTTCCTGAGCCTGTCCTGCCCTAGTTAGGTCTAGAATATACATTAAATTTACTTTACTGAAAACCACAAAATAGCTCAGAACATATTAGAAATATGAGGACTATATTACAGGATTATAAGTTATCTCAAAGAACAAGGCTGCTGAATGCAACACAGCTTCTAGAAGGACTAAAATCCATGAATGTAAAGCCAACAGGGATCATGAGAGTTTTATCTCTTTCTGTGTCCTTCATTCTTCTGTCTCTGCAGACTGGACTTCTGGACTTCCCAGATGATGTGGCAGAATTTGGTTTCCAGCAGCTCCTAGTGTTCATGTTATAGCTCCAGATACACAGAAACCAAATCCCTCTCTAGTTCCCAGTTTCAAATTCCTAGAAAAAAGTTCTAACTGGCCATTCTTGGATCTGGGCACACGTGTATTGAACTTTAAAACTGCACAAGGGCAGCAACTGCATGTGTTTTGATCACCTATTACACAGTGCACATAGCAGATGTTCAATATATTTTTATTGCATGAGAACTCTGGCCAAGGAAGTGGGATTATATACAAACATGGTTGCCAGGAGTCTACCCTTGTGGATTGAGTCTGGAATGCAGTTAAGATTGCCTTCGTGAACTGGACTGACCTTCCAAAATTCTCCCTTTATACTTACTCCATAATTTGGCTTCTGTTTCCTCTTCAACTTTCAATCACTCTCTTCCTCACTCCTCACAATCCAGCTACAGTAGTTCACTGTCTGTCCCATATGACAACATTTATTTTCCTATATCCAAGTTTTTCTAGTTTCGGTTTAGGCTGGAATGCACTTCCACTGGCCTTTTCTGTAGCAGCATATTCTCATCTTTTAACTGTATTCTCACCTTTACTCACATCTTTCAACATCACCATCTCACCTAATCATCCTACCATAAATGGCTTCCCCCAGTTACTCTCTGTCTTACCATGCTGTTAATTTTCTTCATAGATAGCATTACCATAATCAATAAATATCCTATATATTAATTTGTTCTTTGTATTTACTCTCTCTCCTATTTCATAAACTTAAGGATGGTAAACATCTCATCTCTCTTGGTCACAGTTCTCACCCCAATGTCTAGCACAGTGTCTGTAAAACTGTAGGGCTCCACAATCATTTGTTATCAATCTGGCAAGACATCAGGCTCTACCCATGTCTGGTCACTCTTGAGTTATCACTGAAGGGATAGTAGTTAAGCATGAGAATAAAATCTGAATACTTGAATTTATATCCTAGATCTACCATTCAATAGTCAAGTGGCTTTATTTAAAATCAGTAACCTTCTGATTCCACATTATAAAATGGCAAAATGATACTAATGCTAGCTAACTTTTCAATGGGATTATTTAAGGATCAAATAATATATTACATAAAATTATTTCATGATTGGAAAATGGAACATAATGTTACTTATAGTATAGCTATTAATAGTATTGTAACATTAATTTCTTAAAATTGAACTTTGAAGAGATAGAACAGCTGAACAGACCAATAATGGTTTAGGAGATTGAATCAGTAATAAAAATTATCTCATCAAAGAAAAGCCCAGGACCTTATGGATTCATCGCTGAATTCAACCAAACATTTTATGAAGAAATAATACCAATTCTCAAACTATTTCAATAATTGAATAGAGAAATCTTCCAAACTTAGTCTGTGAGGCCTGCGTTATCCTGATACCAAAACAAGAACAGAATACAAAAAAAAAGAAAAAGAAAACTATATGCCAATATCCCTGATGAACATATATGTAAAAATCCTCCACAAAATACTAGCAAAATGAATCCAACAGCACATTCAAAAGATCACTCGCCATGACCAAGTGGGATTCATCCCAGAGATGCAAGGATGATTCAACATATGCAAATCAATAAACAAGACATATCACATAAACAGAATGAAGAACAAAAAACATATCATTTCAATAGATGCTAGGAAGCATTTGATAAAATCCAACATTTCTTCATGATAAAAACTCTCAACAAATTAGGTACAAAAGGTGATAAAAACAATAAAAAATCTCAACAAATCAGGTACATTGTGTACATCAACACAGTGAAGGCCAAATCTGACAAACACACACTAGCATTGTACTGAATGAGAAGAATAAGTTGAAAGCTTTCCCTCTAAAACCTGAAACAAGAACGTATCCTTTCACCACTTCTATTCAACATAGTACTAGAAGTCCTAAGTAAAGCAATTAAGCAAGAGAAAATAATAAAAGGCATCCAATTGCTTGAGCCTAGGAGTTCAAGAACAGCCTGGACAACATAGGGAGACCCTGTCTCTACAAAATATTTTTAAAAATTAGCTGGGCATGATGGCACATACCTGTAGTCCCATCTACTCAGGAGGCTGAGGTGGGAGGATCACTTGAGCCTGGGAGGTCAAGGCTTCAGTAAGCCGTGATGGCACCACTGCACTCCAGCCTGAGCAGTAGAGTGAGACACTGTCTCAAGAAAAAAAAAAAAAAACAGCATTCAAATTGGAAACAAAGGAGTTAAATTGTTCCTATGTGCAGATGACATAAGCTTGTATACATAGAAAACCCTAAAAACTTCATCAGAAAACTGCTAGAACTAATAAAGTTACTAAAGTTGCAGGATATAAAATCAACACACAAAAAACAGTAATATTTTTATATGCTAATAACTATCTGAAATAGAAATTAAAAAAATCCCATTCACCATAGCCACAAATAAATAGAATACTTAGGAATAAATTTAACCAAGATGAAAAATCTTTACAATGAAAACTGTAAAACATTGATGAAAGAAATTGAAGCAGACACAAATACATGAAAAGATACCTCACATTCATGGATTGGAAGAATTAATATTGTTAAAATGTCCATACTACCCAAAGTATATACAGATTCAATGCAATCCTCAATAAAATGTCAAAGACTATCTTAAAAAATAGAAAAAACTATCTTAAAATTCATATGGAACCATAAAGACCCTGAATAGCCAAAGTAATCTTGAGTAAAAAGAACAAAACTGGAGGCATCACACTACTTGACTTCAAAATATGCCACTAAGATATAGTAATCAAAACAGCATGGTACTGGCATAAAAAGAGACATAGACCAATGGAATAGGATAGAAAGCCCAGAAATAAACCCATATACTAATAATCAATTGACTTTTGACAAAAGTGCCAAGAACACAAATGGGGGAAAGAACAGTCTTTTCAATAAATGATGTTGGGAGAACTGCATATCCACATGCAAAAAGAAATTGGACCCTTATCTCTCACCATATATGAAAATCAATTCAAAATGGATTAAACACTTAAATGTAAGACCTGAAACTATGAGGCTACTAGAAGAAAACATGGCAGAAATGCTTCATGACCTTGGGCTGGACAAAGATTTTTTTGGATAAGACCTCAAAAGCCCAAGCAACAAAAACAAAAGTAGACAAATGGGGTTACATCAAACTAAAAGGCTTCTTCACAGCAAGGGAAACAATCAACAGAGTGAAGAGACAATCTACAGAATGGGAGAATATATTTGGAAACTATAAATCTGAGAAAAGATTAATATCTAAAATACATAAGAAACTCAGACAACTCAATAGCAAGAAAACAAATAACTAGATTTTTAAAATGGCAAAAAAATTAAACAGACATTTCTCATAAGAAGATACACAAATGGTTAATAGGTTTAAAAAATTTCCAGCATCACTGATCATCAGGAAATTTCAAACCAAATCCACGATAAGAGATGACTACACATCTGTTGGAATTACCAAAACCACAACAGGTAAAAGATGCTTGCAGGAATGTAGAGAAAAGGAAACCCTTCCATACTCTTGGTGAAAAGGTAAATTAGTGCAACTACTATGAAAAACAGGATAGATGTTCCTCAAAAATAGAACTACCATATGATCCAGTAATCCCACTACTGGGTTTATCTCCAATTAAAATGAAATCAGCATGTCAAAGAGACATTTGCACTCTCCTGTTTATTGCAGAACTATTCACAATAGCCAAAATGTAGAATCAACAGATGAATAGATAAAGGAAGTGTTATATGCATACACATGCATGCACGCACGCACACACACACACATATATAAAATATATATAATGGAATACCATTCAGCCATAAAAAATATGAAATTCTGTCATTTGCAATAACATGGATGAACCTGAAAGACATTATATTAAGTGAAATAAGCCAGGCACAAAAAAAAATACCACATGATCACATTTATATGTGGAATCTAAAAAAAAGTTGATCTTGTAGAAATTGAGAATAGAGTAGTGGTTACCAGAGGCTGAAGATAGGGGAGGGGAAAGATTGGTCGGTAAGTACAATGTTACAGTTAGATATGAGGAATATGTTCAGGTGTCCTATGAGACAGTAAAACTACTATAGTTAACAATAATGTACTGTATGTTACAAAATAGCTGGAAGAGGATTTTTGGACATTCACACCACAAAAAAAATTTTACTACTTAAGGTGATAGATACACTGGTTACCATGATTCAATCATCACATGTTGTGGGTGTATATAAAATCATCACCCCATAAATATGTACAATTATTATGTGTCAATCAAAAATAAAAATGAAACTTCAAAAATATTAACGGTAATTATTCATATTTAACTGTTTGCCTAGAGTTAGCCCTAAACCTATCCCGAGTTGATGGGACTATAAATTGTACAATTTTCATAAGAATAACAACCATTTTTACAAAAATCTTTAGAAGAGTCATAGCACTCAAAAGCTGTGACATTGCCCAACAATTACCAGAGAAGGTTCTTTCCAAAGGAACTATCAAGAGTGAAATGTATTGCAGCACATTTGTTTTTGATGTTTTCACTTTCCATAATGCTCTTCCCTTTCCTTTTTGCTCAGATCACTTCCTCCCTTTCTTACAAGACTCATTGGAAATAACTTTGGCTTACTTCAGCACTTTAGTGGCCTTCCCATGGACCTTCATCCCGTGCCACAGAGAATCTGAGGAGTAGGAGAGGGAGAATTCAAAGGCCGCCATTAAGAGAGGTGGTCAAGTTTGTGCTGCAGGATTCTGAGAAAGAGTAAGCTGCAGAGAGAGGTTGCTTTTATCGTCATAGTTGTTGGATTGTTTTATTCCCTGAGAGAGGAAGAGGTTAATAGGTCAGTTGCAAAGGAGAAGAAAGGAAAGTGATATTAACTAGAAAAAGCAAAGAGCCACAAAAACAAAAGAGGAAAGTAAATGATACTTGTTCTGGGAAACTAAAGGATCCAGGTTTTCTTTAGATTGGTTTCTGACAACTTGGGGAGAAACACTAAAACTAAAAAACAAACAAACAAAACCAAGATTCTATGTTTTCCATGTCTTATATAGATGTAATGATGATATTACAATGAACTTTTATTGAGTATTATATGCCAAGCATTATGCTGAGTGTTCTACAAATATTATTACCTCATTTAATCCTGTGATAACAACTGGATAAGGAGGTACCATTATTATACCCATTTTATAGGTTAGAAAACTGATGCCCATAGAGGGTAAGTAACTTGCCCAAGGCTTCACAGCTAATAAGTAGCAGATTGACTTCTATGATTGTGGTCTTAATCACTATGCTATAATGCCTGTCTACATTGAGATTTGCTTAGAAGGCATTATAATTTACACATATAATTCACAAATTTACTAAACATGTATTTCCCATTTAATTATTTTCTGTAGCTGTATTCTATGCATATTTGCAAAGAGAAAAGAAGAAAAGAATATTGCTGCCCAATACAGTATTCCTGGTTCTAAGTGGCCTGGATGGAGCTATTTCCAGCAATGGGAACACTAATAAGCAAAATCCCTGCCTTCTTTGTTGGATTTTATTTATTTATTTGTTTGTTTGTTTGTTTGTTTATTTAGTTTTGAGATGGAGTCTCGCTCTGTCACCCAGGCTGGAGTCCAGTGGTGCAATCTGGGCTCACTGCAACCTCTGCCTCCCAGGTTCAAGCGATTCTCGCGCCTCAGCCTCCCAAGTAGCTGGGACTACAGGCACCCGCCACCACAACATTTAGTAGAGACAGGGTTTCACCATATTGACCAGGCTGGTCTCAAACTCCCGACCTTACGTGACCCACTTGCCACAGCCTCCCAAACTGCTGGGATTACAGGAGTGAGCCACCATGCCTGGCCTCTTTCTGAGAACTTTTTATATGCACATTTTGCCTTCTGTACTAGACAGCTTGCTCTTTGTGGATAGCATTTACCAACACACAGTCCCGGTTGAAATCAATTTGTAGTTTGTGTGAAATTGGACAAGTTATTTAATCTCTCTACACCTTAGGTTTCTTATGTGTAAATGGGGATAATTATCATTGAACTATTATGAAAATTAAATTTCTATCTCCATAGCCCTTCATTGTGCATTTTCACAGAAAACCTCCAATAAATATTATGCTTGTGGTGGTTGTTGCTGATAGTGAACTATTGATGGTTAGTTGAATATTCTTTGGTGAGAACACAGGCCTCCTGATGAGTTCTTTCTTAGCCCACAATAATCTTGGACTTAGCCGGTATTAAAAAGTAGGAAAGCAAGGGCAAAAAAATTGAGCATTTGATTTTAGCCATAATTGAGATTTGGAATAAAAATATTTTCATAATCTACTGTCACATTTTATACAAGTGAGGCACATCAGTTTTTCTATAAATAGGGCACTTTCATCTAATTGTTTATTTTTGCTACTACCACACCCATATATTAGATAGGACATAGCTTTTCATTTCTATCATTTACACAGTGAGGAGCTAATGAAATATTTAGAATATTTATTCCTCCATTATTTAAATTCAATCAGCTTTGCAGGTAGGCTGTAATCATCCAAAGAAAAAACGTTTTATAAGCCAAGGCTTGTGTATGCCATTGCCATGCATTCACATCTAGACAACTGCAGCTATTTTCATTTGACCCTGATAAAGGAGCATGCATCTTTTTTGCAGCCAAAGAGCATACATCTTTTTTTTGCAGTTAAAATGCAATACACAAATTCACACACAGAAAATATGGCACACATCTTTTTTCTATAAAATTTGATGTAAAATTAGTTTATAATATGTATGAAAGTATGACTAAGATAATAACAAAGTAGAAACAGAGAATGGCTGTGGGGTAGATCATGAAGAAATCCTATCTAATCAAATCTTCAAGTTAGCATAAAGTCAGATTTTTATTTGTAATTTTAGCATCTACTGTACACAGAACTTGTATTATACATTGCAGAAGATAGAAGAGTAAATAAAATAAGTACTTCCTCTCAGAGAATCTTATAATATATCATTAATTAGCATAATAAAGTAACGAATCAAGGAGCAATGGAGACTAGGGCCTTCACATAGTCTAGATAACTTTATTCCATGATCATGATTATGATCATCGTCCTAGCTAACATAGACTTCTAAGGTAGCCATAACAAAATACCATATACTGAACAGCTTAAACAATGAGAATTTATTTCTCACAGTTCTAGAGGCTGGAAGGTCCAAGATCAAGGTGCCAGCAAGGTAGGTTTTATTCTAAGTCCTCTTCCCTTGGCTTGTAGGTCACAGTCATCTCCGCATGTGTTCACATAACCTCTTTGCATACACACAGAAATAGAGAAGGAACAAAACTTTCTGGTGTCTCCTTTTATAAGGGAACTAATCCCATCATGAGGGCCCTACCCCTGTGAACTTGTCTAACCCTAATTACCTCCCAAAGGCCCCGTCTCCAAATGCTGTAACTTTGGGGTTATGGAATCAACCTATGATTTGTGGGGAACACAAACATTCAGTCCATAACACAAACTGTGTATCACTTACTTTGCATGTCTTCTCTCATTTACTCTTCACAACGATTCAATAGGGTAGATGCTATTATAATTTTTATTTCTCTTTCGGAGATAAAGAAATAGGTTCAGGAGTTGGAGTTCCTTGTATAGAGTTCACACACCAGTAAATAATCATTCTAATATTCTCACAAAGGGTCTTTTGGTTGGCCGGTTGGTTGGTTGCTCGGGTGGATGATTGTTTTTCTTCAGCAAGTAATTTAAGTGTTAGAACTATGTATATTTTGAATGATACTTCAACTATCCCTTTCTCAACAAGAATGAATGTCTGGAGGGGCCCTATTTTTCTTCATATATAAAATGAAAGAAATGAAAAATCATATAATTTAATGGATATTAAATTGCAATAGCATATTGAGCATCATATGGACCAAAAGCACAAATTTACTCTGAATTTATTATTATTATCCAATTAGTATCAGAATCTTCTGAAATGTTCCAAAAATCAAAATGAAGATAATAATGCTGCCTATGCCCAATCCCTAATGTAAATTTGCTGTACAAAGGAAAATTTTTAATATTACATTTATTAGAAATCAAAATACTGAGTTAAAGAACATCGTCAGCCTAATCAGAGTTTGGGGTTGGGTAGGTTTTTTTTGTTGTTGTTATAGTTTTTTGTGTTTGTATAAAACTGTCCCCAGGAAGAATAGAAAGAAAATGATAGAGAACTAGAAAACATTAAGAGAAACCAATAATTTAAAGCACATCTTGCCACAACTCTTGTAACTAATCAAAGCAGGAAAAGCTCCCTGTTCTCTCTTGCTGCTTTGTGGGAATATTAATGTTCTGTCTGGTTTCTATGCAATTTTGCCATGCCTACTTGCCTACTTGAGCACATATCCATCCTTTAATTGACAGAGGAATATTTAAGCATTGAAAAAAAAGTAAGAAAACCCAGACCTGGAGCGACATGCTCATCCCTGGGAGAAACGGGATGTATTTTGTGAGAACTGATGTTTCAATTGCAGCATTGTTCAGACTTCAGTCAGTCTCATTCCAACAAGAGGCAGAAAATCAATGATTGAATGTTGTAACTTTTCACTTCAGAGCACAAGTTGTGTTTTTATTACTAGTGTACCAAAAGTCTTAATTTTTAAATGCTGACAAATTGTCTGCATCAATAGAACTACGATTCAACTTAATTTATAAATGTATATAACAGATAGGCTTCAATGTTCTAATGCTGCTTTCCACACAGTTTGTTAAATATAAAAGCATCTAGAAAGCATTGATCTTGTGGGATCTCCTCTGGCATTGTGATCTCTTCCTTGCTTACATGTAACACTTAAACAGTTTAGTGTTTGCTAATTGTTCCTGAAATATCACCAGCATTTATTCATATTTCTTGTATCATTGAGATGAAAGAAAGCAAACAGTCTATGACACCCTGTTTGCAAATAGCCTGGTCATAGTCTTCCTCTAGAAGGAACTATTGGTTCTTTTCTAAAAGGCATCATATGATTCATCATTTAGATTTCCTATGTTGAACTTTATTCTTGCTAGGTTTCCTCAAAAAAATGTCACAAGAAACTAGGAAGCAGAAGGTGTGAAAGGGAAGCTCAGAGAATTCTGTCATCATGAATACAGACTACTCTGCCATGGGATGATTTTCTAAATCAGATGGGTTTCTGAAGTTGGCAGAATGTTACCTAATCTTTAGTGAAACCACCTAAAGAGCTATGTTTGAGATGTTCCCTATTTTCAAGAACTTTGATATTCTTGTCATCTTATATCCAAAAGAAGTATAAAAGGAAATATAATGAATTGGTTCTTCAAAGAGACATTTTTAGATTTTATATAATAGAATAGGTAGAATAAAAAAGCATTTAAGGAGAAGTCCTGATTATATAACACTAAGTTGCTTTGCCAGCTATCTCCCTGAAATGCATTTTTCTAACACATTTGTTCCAAAACACTTTCCACACAATAAGTATTCATTTCAACCAATGTGGCGATGACTCTGTGGTTTATGTATGATGTAAGCATTCCAGAGTCCTTTCCAAAGTACTAATTTGACTCATAAAAACATTTTATTTTAAGTAGTTTTCAAAGAATAAAGGTTTGATTCTTGATTTTTGCTTCTAACAACTAGCATGTTTAAAATGTGTTCAAAACGCAACAATCAAATATTTTAACCTCTGAGGTTTTTTCTTCTTGCAAATTTCTTACTTAATTCAGATCACAAATAATAACATAATAAAGAAGTGTGTTAAAATATTGACCAAGGCAAAAGAGCCATCTTTTGTTAGACGAGGATAAAGAATTAAGCAATACTTTTTAAAGCTAATAAATAGTGCTTTTTATCTCTCAATTTTAAAAAGTATCCAGTTAAATGGCTTTGTTATTTAAATTAAGAAAAATGATGGCACACAAAAAGGGAAAAATGTCTTTAGTCGACAAAATGTTGGCTCATTTTGTTCATCAAGTTATTCCTTTCATGGCAATGAACAAAGGGAAATTTGGATTATTGAAGTGAGGGTTTTAAACAAACACACAGTGGAAAATGGGAGGATAAGGAATTTCTGACTCTCAATATTTGCTAACTTAAAATTTTAAATATAGGAAAACACTTCAACAATACTGACAGAGTTACCATCAACCGTGTATAATTTCTGCAAAATCATTCACCATCAAAATGCAATGCTTCTCCTAATGCTAGTATTCATTTCCAGAATGCAATTTGATTCAGAATATAATAATGCAAGAAAATAAATGATGAAGAAAGATACACACACACACACACACAAACACGCATACACACACACACACTCACACACACATACTCCTAAGGAGTGCAGTTCCTTGAAACAAGATTCCTGACAGTCAATACATTTCACATTATCCAATATCTCATAAATCTTCATCCAACTAATTCCTTCAATACTGAGAAGTAAAAAAATATATAGTAAAAAATGTTTGCACATTGTTGCAAATCATACTAAACATTTGCCAAAAAAAATCTGTAGGTCGGGAACTGCTGTTAATATCAAGATAATCACTACTAATGAGGTGATTATTCAGTGCCATTATAATGAGAACTGCTGTAATTTGGATATTATGCTTACCATTTCTCAAAACTATCAAAAGGTTTTCTGTTATGTATTACTCTAAAGGCAGAAAAGATCTTTTCTTTTTTCTCAAAAAAGAGTCACAAAGAATTATGTAAAAAAAATTTTTTAAAGGAATAAATTAGAATGTATTTTTAAACTTGGAATCTGTAACAATTATACCTAACAGTAGTAATTCGGACACTATGCTCTGAGTTCTGATTCATGTAATAATTTATTCTGACATATAATAGTTTTTCCTAAATTCACCCACCTTAAGACCTTTTTTCAAAGCACTTGAGTGAAAAAATATATATTCCCTGGAATGTTATGCTTCTTGGTGGCTTTCATAACTACTACTCTCTTTTCAAGGGAAACACGGGGAAAAATTGCATCTGCAAATTTGGTGTGGCAGATGAGACACTTTTGTGCCCAGGAAATGCCTCACTAAGATTATGCTAGTTTGGGGAATGGCCAAGTTTCTGATGGGGTGATGAGCATGGTGTACTTCCCCTAGGCGGGTACTCTGGTGATGTGACATTTCGCCATCAGCCCCACTTCAGAGCATGACCCGGAATGGAGAAAACTAGGGCTGTCCAGGCTTACAGTAAGCAGCATTCCTGTCTTTCAGCAGCAAGCTTTCTTCCTTCACTCTAACGCCTTTTTCTATTGCCCTTTTAAAGGGCAACACAGGAGGCAAAATGTTGCCATCATTGTTAGCTGGTAGCTATGAGAAAAGTTTTTTTTTAGTTTTTTTTTTTCTTTGAGAAGGGGTTTTTTTGTTTTTTTTTTTTGTTTTTTTTTTTTTGCTCTTTTGATTGGAGTTATTTAGGTCACGTCTAAATTGGATAATGGAAGCCAACATTTTGGTGATAAACTGTGGAGATACATATATATATATACATACACACATATAATTTTAAAAAAATTTTTTTACACAACCATCCTTAGAAAAACAGTTTAGTGAAGGCAAAAATTTTATCTCTACCTTTTTAGGGTTTTCAGCTGGGCCTGAGAATTAATTGACATAAGATAGATAACAGGAGAAAAGTATACACATTTACTGAGTATAAATTTTAGTTTTACATGACATGGAAGCCATCATGTGGAAATAAAGACCCAAAGAAGGAGTTAGAGTTGAATGCTTCTATATTGAATTGGACACTGAGTAGTAAATTACGAAAATGTGACAAGATGAAGGACTTGGGCTAGGGTAGTTAATGGTGAAAAGGGAACTAGGAAGATAAGGGTTAGTTTAACAAGGTTTGTTTGTACAGATTTTTCTCAACTCTGAGTCCCCATCTCTGCTAATGAGAATGTTATTTTCTTTCTAGAATGATGAGAATATCTTCTATATGGGAGTTCTGTCTCCTGCTTTTAGGGAAAAAAAAGGGGAGGTCAGAGTGACCTTCTTGTACTTGCTGTTTTTTAGGTGCCTTTAGCTCAAAATAATCCTCACGCCAAAGTGGCTTATTTTGGAGTGGCATATTATTACACACTTAAAAAAATCAATTTCATTTTATTTCCCTATATTTCAAAATCAAACAGATACTAGATGCACATATATATGAATACTGGTAAAATTATAAATGCAAGTAATATATTCAACTTAGACTATCACTTTAAATTGGCCTTTGGTTTAAGAAATAATTCAGATACATATAGTTCATTTAGTTTTTTAGCCATGTCCTTTTAAATTTGAAGTACTTTATGCTTTCTTCAAAATTAATAAATCCTATGAAAAAAGACAGAAGACCTTAAAGTCTCAGATAAATTTTAACTTAGAAATTTATGTATATGTGTCCAATTTCTTACATGATGAAATGAAATAAATGTGGAAGATATAATCATTAATGGCACATGTATGGCAGAACATAGAATCATTACAGTAAGAAATAATTTGCTATCTAAACTCTAAAACATATGTAGTCAGAGTTGAAATTTGCAATCCAGACATCACAAATAGTCTACAATTATCATTTTTAGCATCCTTGTATTTTTAGCTTTGGGTAAACTATAAACACATTTCAACTTCATGTTGCACTGCATGACAGTGGGCACATAAAGACATGATAACTTGCTGAACTCCTTCCTCAGAGAATATACTCCTATTCATGGCCCCTTTTTCTAGGTACCGTCCCATCCAACTATTCCTGGGCATCTCATACAGCCTTATTTCTGTCACTTACTCCACCACCCAGATCTCAGCTTTTATTCCAGTGTTGGACTCTGACTGAAGGGCATCCAGTCTATTGGCTGAGTGACACCAATCAGATTATCTCACAAGAATTTAAATGAGAGACAGAAATTGTGATTTGTCCGCAGAGCAGCCAATATCCTAAACCAAAGGAACAATTCCATCAACTTCCTTGCTGCAATCCTGGCTTCCAGCACATTTGTAGTAAGTTTCTGCTAGTTAATTTACTTTAACATGCTTTTAGTTAGAGATTTTTTAAAAAAATGAACATTGCATGTATCAAAGCTTATATTATACAAATTGCATGCAATAGTAGTCCTGAGTTTGCTACAGGGGAAAAATGGGTAACCTAAAATGATGCATCTCACTGAATATGCTATAACATGAGGGGAAAAGTTAGATACCAGAAATATTCACCAAATTTGAAAATGTGAAGATTTAGAGACTTAAATCAAAGAGAGGTAGAATCTAATTCTTATCCATAATGATAAATTAAGCTAGTAAAGAGTAGAAAAGCTGGTAAGGATGATGTAAATTTCCTCAAAAACCTTCTAGGGGGGGAAATACAAAAGAATACATTTTTTCACTTGTAAATATGTTGTATTGAGATTGAGTTAACAATTTTTGGGATCCTGCTCTGAAGTGAGTGCTTTTAGAGGTAAAAGTTTTAAAGAGAACAAAATTAAAGCTTAAAGAAGTGTGGTGACTTTCTCATCATCTCAAAGCTAGTAAGAATAGAACTGAGATTCATTTTCTATTTCCTGACTTCAGGTCCAATATTTCAATGTTCTTTCTATTTTTCTTACAGTGATCTAGAAAGCTGTGAGGCAGTGACAGACTATGTAATTTTTTTCCTTTTTGGTAGTAAAAACCTATTATCAGCTGTCACATAGCTTTATAGAGCAGATGAAAACATTTCTTTAAATGAGCCTAATACCCTTGTTTTATACTGAGAAAAATTAGATTTACAGATGTCAATTGATCTGTCCCTGTGGACACAGTTAGACAATGGTCAAGATTACAGGCCAAGTGTCAGACTTGTAGTCCACTACCTCCCATTCATCTAATTAACACAATACTAGTTATTGATGTTGACATGGACTTTTAATTCTTTTAAGACAGTGTGGATATAGGTGTCATACATCTGATTGATCACTTACTCTAATGCATTAGGTATAATCACAGTAAATAAAACATATAGAAGATACACACTCCCTTCTTAATTATGTCACACATAAAAGAAATATTGACATTTGACAATAAAATGCAAATGAATTGACTGGCTCCTTTATTCTGTGCTTAACTAGACTTAAGATAGCTGCAACAGAGCAGGTTTTCATTGCTGCCATCTCAGACCCTATATCAGGAACAGAGTTGGGTCTGTCCTTATTCTTAGGATGCTCTCCAGATCCTAATAATTACATACATAGTCTTGTCATCTTTGTTCAGATAAAACGCCCTATGCAAATAGGAGTCTTAAATTGCTGGCCATTATATAGTTTTATTCTTCAGTTAAACCAGATTATAAATTTTCATATAGGAAGAGAGAGTTGTAGAGATGCTATAAAATCAGGTTCCTGAATTATAATTATCTGGTATTCTAATTTAAAATTTTTATTTTCTGAGATATTTAAAATGTAATGAAACATCACCAGCACCTAGTTTTTTGCCTATAAATTATTTTTTTATAATAACATCTTCTTATAATCACCTATTACTTCTGCACAAAAGATATTATACTGTTCTAGTCATTGTAATCATTTCCATGCCCCATCCATATATTTGCATTGGTAAATTTATTAAGAAGTTTGTTCTCAGAGCTCAGATCTATATAATTGTCAATAAAAGCTTGTGTAACCTAAAATTCATTTTATAATATTCACTCCATTTAATTTTTGGACCTTTAACATTTTAGATTTAAAAAATACATATCCAATTCCATTAATCAGACTTTTAAATATTTTTAAATAAGTGTTAATATTTTCAAATAAATATACAGCTCAATGAATTATCACAAAGTGTAAATAGCCATGTAACCACCATCAGGATCAAGAAATAGACCAACTCCAAAATCCCAGAATCCCCCTTTCCTCCTCGTCAAGGTGTATTGCTATCCTGATTTCCAACACCAGAGATTTATTCTTACCTCTTTTTGAGCTGTATAAATAAAATCATACAGAATATATTATTTTATGTCTGGCTTCTGCCACTCAGGATTATGTTTGTAGGGTAATGTGTTGTTTTGAGTAGCAGTAGTTTAATCTTTTTTCATTGCTGTAGCATATTTATTTTCCCATTTTACTTTGGTAGACATTTGAATTGTTTCCAGTTTTGGGCTATTAAAATTATACTGCTATGGACATCTTAATGTATTTATTTTGGTGCACATATGTTCCATTTCTGCTCGTTGTAAACCTAGGATTTCTGGGTCATTGGTAAACATGTGTTCACCATTAGTAAATAATGCCCAAAGAGTCTTCAAAAGTGATTTCACTAAAGTACAATCCTATGAGTTTACATTATTGCCAATTGATATGGTTTGGATTTGGGTCCCCACCCAAATCTCATGTTGAATTGTGAAACTTAATGTTGGAGGAGGGAACTAGTGGGAGATGACTGGATTATGGGGACAGATTTTTCCCTCACTGTTCTCATGATAGTGAGTTCTCACAAGATCTAGTTGTTTAAAAGTGTGTAGCACCTCCTCCTTCACTCTCTTTCTTCTGGCTGGGGCCATGTAAGATGTGCCAGCTTCACTTTCTGCCATGATTGTAAGTTTCCTGAGGCCTCCCCAGCCATGCTTTCTGTACAGCCCGTGGAACCGTGAGCCAATTAAACCTCTTTTCTTCATAAATTACCCAGTTTCAGGCATTTCTTTATAACAGTGTGAGAATGGACTAATAAGCCAATGCTTAAGATTGTCAGTCTAATTTTGTTTAATTTTAATCATTCTTTAGGTGTGTTGTTTTGATTTTTCTGATTACCAATGAGGTTAATCTACCTTTTTTATCTATTTATTTGCCACTAGGATATCGTCTTATGAAGTACCTGTTCATTTCCCCGGCCTATTTTTTTTATTGGCCTGTCTTTTCTTATTCATTTGTAAGAAGTTCATTACAGATTCTGGATACCTGTTTCCTGTCCGTTGTAAATGTTGTAAATATTGCCTCCACTTTGTCTTTTCACTTCCTAGTGGTGTCTTTTGATTAACAGAAGGTTTAAATTTTTTGTGGTCCAATTTAACCATCTTTCCATGGTGTTGCTTTAGAGAAATCTTTGCCGATCTCAAATTCAAATTCGTGAAATTTCTTCCTAAGCTTTCCTCTAAAAGATTATTGCATTAAAATTCACATTTAGATTACAAACTAATGTTTGTGTATGCTGTGATTCACTTTGTTTCATATGAATATCCAATTAACCCAGTACCATTTACTGAAAATGGTACCATAACCCAGTACCATTTTCTTCATTGCCCTGAAGCACTACCATCATTAAAAATCAAGTGACTATGTGTGTGTTGGTCTGTTTTTTAGACTTGTACCTTTGGTTTACTTGGCTAACCTTGCACCAATACCACATTGTAGGTTTATGATCTTCACATTAAATGTAAATCCTCCAAATTATTATCCTTCTTCCAGGTAATCTTGGCCATTCTGGGACCTTTTCATTTCCATGTAAATTTTATAACAGTTGATGATCAATTTGCACAAACATACACACACACTCAAAAAGCATTCAAATTAAGATTTGGAATGAATTGTATCAATTCGAACAATTTAATTGATTTGGAATCAATTTAATTGTTTTGCTATAAAACAATTTAAGAAGAATTAGCTTTTTTACAATATAGTCGTTGAAACTATGAGCATGGTATATCACTCCTCTTATGATTGTCCTCTTGAAGTTGGTAGTTTGCTGATCATAGGCATTTCATATTTCATGATAGGTGTTTGATTTCTTATGCCACTCTGAATAATGTTGTACTCTTATTTTCTAAATATTTGTTGCTGGAAATTTAAATTCATTTAATTTTTTAAATTTTTTGAACAAACAAAATTTATGTATTAATTTCTAGTATTTATGGGTAGGATTTATATGAAATATTTATCTACACAATCCTGTCATCCTTCTACATTTGCTTTTTTCTAATCTACAAATACAAATAGTACATTCATGTTTGGGATGACCTCTTAAAGTACAACCTAGCTCATTTTGAAAAAAAATCTTATTAATATTGATTCTTTGACTTGTTCCAGTGCTTCCTCAGATCATTTAAACTTATTTTTTTATTACCATAGGAGTGCAATGTATTGCAATGTAAATACTCTGGACTTTGAAATCAATAAGATAACAATTTTGACTCCAGTTCCTAAATGTACTACTCATTTTGCTTAAAAATGTTACTAAAACTCTGAGTATTTCTTCACGTATAACTGGGCACATGGTGAGCAACCTCTAAGATAACCCCCAGTGATCCCCACCTTCTGCTATTCATGACTTTGTGTAATACCCTTCTCTTGAGTGCAGGCTGGAATTAGTAACTCACTTCTAACTAACAGCATATGCAGAAATGATTGTTACTTTCAAGGTTATGTTAAAAAGAGACTGTAGCTTCCATCTTGATGCCCTGTGTTGCTGCCCATTCACTCATTCTGAGGAAAGCAGCCACTCTCTTATGAACTGCCCTATGGAGAAATTCATGTGGCTGTGAACTGAAGGAGGCTACCAGCCACCAGCCAGTGAGGAATTGAGACCTTAGTCCAAAAGCCTATGGAGGACTGAGTCCTGCCAACAGTCACACAAACGAACTTGAAATTGAATCTCCTCCAGTCAAGCCTTCAGATGAGAACACTGCCCTGTCTGCCATCTCGATTACAGTCTTGTTAAAGACTTTATGGCAGAGGCACCCAGGTAAGCCACCCATAGATGCCTAACACACAGAAACCAGGAAATAATAAATGTTTTGTTAAGATACTAAATGTCGGGACGATTTATTCCACAGTAATAAATTACTAATAATATACAGAGTATATCCACCACAGACTATATGACCCTCAACAAGCATTCAGCATTCAATATTTCTAGTTAGTTTATAAATGAACAATTTTTATTGATCTTGTACAATATATACAATTCAATTAAAAATGCTTCAAGTGACCAGGCATGGTGGCTCATGCCTGTAACCCCAGCACTTTGCAAGGTCAAGGCAGGAGGATTGCTAGAATCCAAGGGTTAAAGACTAGCCTGAGCAATATAGTGAGATCCTTTATCTCTCTATATATTTTTTAATGCTTAAGATAATTCGATAAGTAATATCTCTGACCTCCAGAAGTGCTGAAGTGATCCTCTTAACATCTATACTTTTAAATACTAGAGGAACTAGAAATACCTGAGATAGAAGGAATCTTATAAATTTTAAAAGAATGAACTGCTCTATCAGCTTTGGGTGACCACTCCAATCTCACTACTGGATTCATTTTGTTGTGGTGTATAACACAAGAAAATTTCCCCCAAAATTAGCAGTAAATGGACTGTTCTTTAAATTTCATTGCAAATTTTTCCTATCACAAATCAACTGTAGAATGCAAATCAATCATGACTTCAGTATAAAACCTGATTAGTAGTAACTATAAAGATAGAAACTCATAGTTTCTTCAGGCTGTCATTCTTTTTATACAACTTAATGTCATAGTTATTTTCCCATCAAACCATTGACTATTACATTTCAATTTAATTCCATTGGTATGACATACAGTTTGCAGTTTCTTTCCATCATATCTTCCCCCAAAGAATTGTGGTCTCATCATGCCTTTATATAGATTTTTTCCTTCCTTAAGCAATGTTTCTAAAATAGAATGGCTTTTTAACATTATTTATAAGTACCCACTTTTCTAAACTGTTTGAAGATATTTTTCATTTCTAATTAAATTTCTAGAATAACACTGACAAAAGATAGTATTTAATGTATGTAATTCATTCAAGAATTCTTTGGATGTTAGCAGGCATACAGTCCCTAAGAGCATAATATAAAGGTGATGAAAAAAACTGGGAAGGAAAAATAAATAAGCAAATGAGCCAAACTGCATACTACTACAAATATTTATTGCAATGATTAAGATGCTTATATTCTGAATCATAAAACATAGCCATTAAGCTTTATGGAAATAATCCTGCATAAAGCTCTGTATATCTTCTTACATTTTCATAATTGATGGAAAAATATCATCTAAAATGAAAACTAACAATAAGTTCATAAATCATTCAGTGTTTCCTTTGCCATGCTTTGGGCTAATCATTCATAGAAAGCAACAGATATGTAATGCCTGGTATGTCCAGGGTAACAAATACAAAATATATCTCTTACTTTTATGCCTTCATTTTCATACTTTTGAATTAGATGGCTCCAATGCTAGCATAAATTTTTAAAAATATATCCATCATGCTTCAGACTCTTTCTTAATTATGGCCTGTGGGCCAGTCATCAACAACATTTTTCTTTCCTAGAACATAAGAGGTCTGGATTTTGCATGTCTTTCCTAGAACAGGGAAGCCTGTCTGCCAGCCAATCAGAACCTGCCAGTGGACTCAGTAAGCAGGCCTATTATTTGAATGCTTAGCTTTTCATTACACTAGCTATAAAACAAGAAACATCAAGACAAATAAGAACTTGGATTGGCTGCTAGATTTACTACCCAGCTGCTAAAGAAACCATCAGGATTCACTATATTTCACCATGTTAGCAAGAAACATCAGTCACATTAACAGCCATCTTTAAAAGCAGAGTGAAGCATAACTTACCAGTTCTATCAACGAGCCCTTTAGCTGAACAACTGCATCTGTCTGAGTTCATTTAAAAAAAAAAATTGTCAGTAATTAAATACATCTTGCAAATTTTTTTTTAACAGTTCCAAAAGCAAGGAATTGCTTCAGTTGCCCTTAGTTTATTTCTGGCCATTGTAAACATCTGGATAAGCATAATGTACTCTTAGGAGCTATTGGTATGTTAATCCTCCAGTGGAATTTAAGCAGGGTTTTTTGTGTATTTTTATAGATATATAATATTTGCACATTTTTATGGTGTCTGTGGGTATTTTGTTACATGCATGTAATATAATATGTACTTTGATTATATCGTCACACTTAATTTTATTTTATTTTCCCACTGCCTAAGTCTATTTTGTGCTGCTGTAACAAAATAAAACAGGATGCCACTTTGGGAGGCCGAGGTGGGCGGATCACGGGGTCAGGAGATCAAGACCATCCTGGCTAATACGGTGAAACCCCGTCTCTACTAAAAATACAAAAAATTAGCTGGGCATGGTGGCAGGCGCCTGTAGTCCCAGCTACTGGGGAGGCTGAGGCAAGAGAATGGCGTGAACCTGGGAGGCGGAGCTTGCAGTGAGCCAAGACTGCGCCACTGCACTCCAGCCTGGGCGACAGAGCGAGACTCTGTCTCAAAACAAAACAAAACAAAAACAGAATGGGAGATTTATAATGAATAAAAATGTATTGGCTAACAGTTCTGGAGGCTGGAAAGTCCAATATTAAGGTGCTGGCATCTCGTGAGGGCCTTCTTGCTGTATTATCAAATGGCATAAAGTGAAAGGGCAAAGAGAGGGCAAGAAAGGGCCAAATCAGTCTTTTCATAATGGTATTAATCTCACCCATGAGGGTAGAGCCCTATAGCCTAATCACCTATTAATATCTTAATGATCTTAATATCTTAGTAACCCCAACTGTTAATATAGTTACAATGGCAATTAAGTTTTATCATGAGTTTTGGAGGGGACAAACATTCAAACCATAACACCCACTGTTTTTTTTTATTTTGTTTTGTAAGATGCTAGGTTTGTGTTACCATAGCAGCTACTCTGGAGGTACAGACAATTCTTTCTTTATATTTATTAAATGACTTAAATTCTTGCATTGAGAAACTCTATACAAGCATGCCATGTTTTCATTTGCAAATATTACATGTATGTTACAAATACTAGCTTATATGTTTTAAAATCTTTACCTTGGTTAATGAGGAGAACTTTTAAAAATCCCATTTGAATTAGTGCCTTTCACAGGGAGTGACTTTTGAGTTTACCTTAAAGAATACGTAAGATTCCTCCAGCCATGAAAGGAATATAAAGGCACTGTTGCGTTGGAAAATAACCTAACCAAAGGCCTGGGAGAGCAAAAGTGCCTTGCACAGTCAGGAAGATCTATTTTACATCTAAATATATGCAAATAGAGATAAATCGGAGATAAATCTTAAAAAGTAAGACTGTATGTCATGCAATGGATTTCAAACTTAATTCGTTAGAATTTGAAGAATAGTAGATTTTTTAAACAAGGTAGTAGCATGTTTCAGACAAATCACTGTCTCCTGATAGAGAGAAAAGAGAGATAAATAATGGCAATAGAAAAGGCCATTTAAATTGTTATTCAAACAACAGTGGTGATGGTATTTTGGCCCAAAACATTTCTGAATTTATTTCATCTAATTCTCTGAAACTCTCTCCTCCTAACCAGCATTTTCCTTTTCTTTTAAGCTTGTTTTTGTTCTGACTTTCCATGTAGCTCATTATTTTCAAATTTAAAATAATTAGGACCACAAATAGACTTTTCATCTCCATGAACTTTTTTATATACCCGCCTATGCTAAGTTTATATAATCTGGAAATACTAATATAAATCATTAAGCTTTAGTTCAGTACCTTTTGACAGCTGATTAAACTTTTCTTTTCCTGAATGATAAAGTAATATTCTATTTATACCCAATTCCTGATGCTATACACTTGTATTTAGAAGAAATATGGTTATATTATTTGAATTTTGCCAAAGTAGAGTTTATTTCTTGGACACAGTATAGTTTATCTAATTTGCAAAAGGAATCCTAGGGAAAGATTAGACTCTAACTAAAGCCTATTAAGAAGTCAAACCTCGACAGCTGGCACATCTGTTCCTGTCTTCCCTTCAACTTCTACAGTCTTCCTTCTTTTAAAAAACTCTGTTTTCTTTATTTCATTGATATAGAAGAGATGTAAATATTTTGAGGGTGCATGTGATAATTTTGTATATTTATTTAATTTGTGAAGATTAGATCAGTGTAATTGATCACCTTAAGTCACCTTAAATACTTGTATTTTCTTGATGCTAGAAACATTTAAATTGTTCTCTTCTAGCTAGTTTGAAATATACAATAGATTATTGTAGAACACAGTCACCCTACTAATCTATCAAAAGCTAGATTTATGTCTTCTATTAAACTATATATTTGTATTCATTAGTCAACCTCTCCTCATCCCCTTCTCCCCTCCCCTTTCTGGCTTCTGGTAATCACCAATTTACTCTCTATCTTCATGAGATCCACTTTTTTAGCTCCCATATATAAATGAAAACATGCAATATATTTGTCTTTCTGTGCTTCACTTACTTAACATAATTATCTCCAGTTTCATTCATGTTGCTGCAAATGACAGGATTTCTTTCCTTTTTAATAGCTGAGTAATATTCCATTGTGTATATATGCCACATTTTTTATTCATCCATTGATGGACACTTAAAGATTGATTTCATATTTTGGCTATTGTAAATAGTGCTTCAATAAATGTGGGAGTGTAGATATCTCTTCAATATATTGATATCCCATCTTTTGGATATATACCCAGAAGTGAAATTGCTGAATCAAATGGTAGTTCTATTTTTTGTTTTTCTGAGGAAACTTTACAGTGTTTTTCATAGTGGCTGTACTAATTTACATTCCCAAAAACAGTGTACATGTGTTCCTTTTTCTCTGCATCCTAGCCAGCATTCATTATTCCCTATATCTTTGATAAAAGGTATTTTAACTGTGGTGAGATGATATCTTATTTTTGGTTTTGAGTTGCATTTCTCTGATGATCAGAGATGTTGAGCACTTTTTCACATACCTCTTGGCCATTTGTATGGCTTCTCTTGAGAAATGTCTATTCAGAAGTTTTGCCTATTGTTTAATTGGATTATTTGGGTTTTTTTCCACTATTGAGTTGTTTGAGCTCCTTATATATTTTGGTTATTAATCTTTTTTCAGATGGGTAGTTTGCAAATATTTTCTTGCATTCTGTGGGTTTTTTACTGTGTTGATGTGTGTGTGATAAGATTTTTAGTTTGATGTAATCCCATCTGCCCATTTTTTGCTTTGGTTGCCTGTGCTTTTGAGGTCTTACACAAAAAACTTTGCCTAGTACAATATCCTGGAGGATTTCCATGATTTCTTCTAGTAGTTTCATAGTTTGATAGGTCTTAGATTTAAGTCTTCAATGCATATTGATTTGATTTTTTGTATGTGGTGAGACATAGGGGTCTAGTTTCATTCTTCTGCATATGATTATCCAGTTTTCCAGCATCATTTATTAAAGAGACTGTCCTTTCCCTATTGTATGTTCTTGGCATCTTTGTAAAAAATGAGTCGGCTGTAAATACATAAATGTATATCTGGGTTCTCCATTATGTTCCATTGGTCTACGTTTCTGTTTTTATGACTGTAAACCATGTTGTTTTGATTACTATAGCTTTGTAGTATATATATATTTTTAATTTTTTTAGTATTTATTGATCATTCTTGGGTGTTTCTCGGAGAGGGGGATTTGGCAGGGTCATAGGACAATAGTGGAGAGAAGGTCCGCAGATAAACATGTGAACAAAGGTCTCTGGTTTTCCTAGGCAGAGGACCCTGCGGCCTTCCGCAGTGTTTGTGTCCCTGGGTACTTGAGATTAGGGAGTGGTGATGACTCTTAACGAGCATGCTGCCTTCAAGCATCTGTTTAACAAAGCACATCTTGCACCGCCCTTAATCCATTTAACCCTGAGTGGACACAGCACATGTTTCAGAGAGCACAGGGTTGGGGGTAAGGTCACAGATCAACAGGATCCCAAGGCAGAAGAATTTTTCTTAGTACAGAACAAAATGGAGTCTCCTATGTCTACTTCTTTCTACACAGACACAGTAACAATTTGATCTCTCTTTCTTTTCCCCACGTTTCCCCCTTTTCTATTCGACAAAACCGCCATCGTCATCATGGCCTGTTCTCAATGAGCTGTTGGGTACACCTCCCAGACGGGGTGGTGCTGGGCAGAGGGGCCCCTCACTTCCCAGATGTGGTGGCCGGGCAGAGGCGCTCCTCAGTTCCCAGATGGGGTCGCCGCCGGGCAGAGGCGCTCCTCACCTCCCAGACGGGGTGGCGGCCGGGTAGAGACGCTCCTCACCTCCCAGACGGGGGTGGCCGGGCAGAGGCGCCCCTCACATCCCAGACGGGGCGGCCAGGCAGAGGCGCTCCCCACATCCCAGATGATGGGCGGCCAGGCAAAGAGGCTCCTCACTTCCTAGACGGGATGACGGCCAGGAAGAGGCGCTCCTCACTTCCCAGACTGGGCTGCCGGGCAGAGGGGCTCCTCACATCCCAGATGATGGGCAGCCAGGCAGAGACGCTCCTCACTTCCCAGATGGGGTGGCGGCTGGGCAGAGGCTGCAATCTCAGCACTTTGGGAGGCCAAGGCAGGTGGCTGGGAGGTGGAGGTTGTAGCCAGCCGAGATCACGCCACTGCACTCCAGCCTGGGCAACATTGAGCACTGAGTGAGCGAGACTCCGTCTGCAATCCCGGGACATCGGGAGGCCGAGGCGGGCAGATCACTCAAGGTCAGGAGCTGGAGACCAGCCCGGCCAACACGGCGAAACCCCGTGTCCACCAAAAAATACAAAAACCAGTCCGGCGTGGCAGCGCGCGCCTGCAATCCCAGGCACTCGGCAGGCTGAGGCAGGAGAATCAGGCAGGCAGGTTGCAGTGAGCTGAGATGGCAGCAGTACAGTCCAGCCTCGGCAACAGAGGGAGACCATGGAAAGCGGGAGACGGAGACGAGGGAGAGGGGGAGAGAGTGGAAAGCGGGAGACGGAGACGAGGGAGAGTGAGAGGGAGAGGGAGCGGGAGAGGGAGCGGGAGAGGGAGAGGGAGAGCGCTTTGTAGTATATTTTTAAGTCAGGTAGTGTGATGCCTCTAGTTTTGTCATTTATTGCTAAGGAATGCTTTGGCTACTTGGCATCTTTTGTGATTCCATAAAAATGTAAGACTGTTTTTCTATTTCTGTGAAAAATGTCAGTGGTATTTTAATAGGAATTGCACTGAATCTGCAAATTGCTTTGAATTATATTGCCAACTTAACAATATTAATTCTTCCAATCCATGAGCATGGAATATCTTTCCTTTTTTTGTATCCTCTTCAACTTAACTCATCAGTATTTTATATATTTCTTGTGTAGGTGTTTCACTTCTTGGTTAAATTGATTCCTAAGTATTTTGTAGCTATTGTAAATGGAATTATTTATTGGTTTTCACTGTTTCTTGGTGGAATCTTTAGGCTTTTTAAAGTACAATTTTATGTTATCTACGAACAAGGCTAATTGGACTTTTTTTTTTTCCATTTTGGACGCCCTTCATTTTATTTGCCTAATTGCTCTGGTCAGGATTTTCAGTATTATGTTGAATAAAGGTGATGAAAGTGGGCATACTTGTCTTGTTATAGATCTTAGAGGAAAGGCTTTCAATTGTTCCGCATTCAGTCTGATGTTAGCTGTGGATTTGCCATGTTTGGACTTTATTAATTTAAGGTATGTTTCCTTTCTATCCAGATTGTATGGGGTTTTTTCCTAAAGAAATGTCCAATTTTACAAAATGCTTTTGCAGCATCTATTAACATCATTATATGATTCTTTTTTTTTTTTTTTTTTTTTCCTGAGACAGAGTCTCACTCTGTTGCCCAGGCTGGAGTGCAGTTGTGCAATCTCAGTTCACTGCAACCTCCACCTCCCGGGTTTAAACAATTCTCCTGCCTCAGCCTCCTGAGTAGCTGGGACTACAGGCGCCCGCCACCACGCCTGGCTAATTTTTGTATTTTTAGTAGAGATGGGGTTTCACCTTATTGGGCAGGCTGATCTCGAACTCCTGACCTTGTGATCCGCCCACCTCGGCCTCCCAAAGTGCTGGGATTACAGGCTGAGCCACTGCGCCCAGCCCAATTATTTGTTCTTGATTCTGCTTCTGTGATGTATCATGTTTCTTGATTTTTGTGTGTTGAACTATCCTTGCAACTCTGGAATGAATCTGACTTAATCATGGTAAAACAGCTTTTTAATGTGTTTTGGAGTTTGTTTTGCTTTGTTAAGAATTTTTGCATCTATGTTCTTCAGTGATACTGGCCTGTAGTTTTCTTTTGTTGTTGTGTCCTTGTCTCGCTTTAGTATTAGGGTAATGATGGCTTCATAGCATAAGTTTTTGGAAGTATCCCTCTTCTTAAGTTTTCTTGAAGAATTTGAGTAGAATTTGTATTAGTTCTTCTTTAAACATTTGGTAGAATTTATGAGTAAAGCCATCAGGTCCCAGGCTTTTCTTTCATGGGAGGCTTTTTTTTTTTAATGGCTTTAATCTCATTACTCACTGTTTGTTTGTTGAAGTTTTCTATTTCATGATTCAATCTTGGTAGGTTGTATATGTCCAGATATTTATCCATTTCTTCTGAGTCTTCATATTTGTTGGTATAAATTCTTTCATAATAGTCTCTAAAAATTCTTTATATTTCTAGGTCTACGTTGTTCTGTCTTCTTTTTAATTTCTGAATTTTTTTTGAGTCTTCTCTTTTTTTTCTTAGTTGGTCTAGCAAAAGTTTTCTCAATTTTATCTTTTTAAAAAACCACCTTTTGTTTTGTTGATTTTGGGGGGTTTGTAGTCTCAATTTCATTTATTTCTGCTCCGATCTTTATTATTTCTTTCCTTCTACTATTGTTGGATTTGACTTCTTGCCTTTCTAGGTCTTTGAGGTGCATCATCGGATTGTTTATTTGAAGTCTTTCTACTTTTTTTATATAGGCATTTATTGCTATAAACTTGTCTCTTTGCACTGCATTTATTGTATCCCAGAGATTTTAGTATGTTGTGTTTCCATTCTCATTTGTTTCAAGAAAATTTTAAATTTTCTTCTTAATTTTGTCATTGACCCATTGGCGATTCAGGAACATATTGTTTAATTTTCATGTGTTTGTGTAGTTTCTGAGGTTCCTCTTGTTGATTTCTAGTTTTATTCCATTGTGGTCAGGAAAAGATAGTTGTTGTGATTTCTACTTTTCTGAATATGTTAAGACTTTTTTGTGGACTAAGATTTGGTCTATTCTGGAAAATGTTCCATGTGCTTATGAAAAGAATGTGTATTCTGCAGCAGTTGGGTGAAATGTCCTCTAAATGTTAGTTAGAACTATTTGATCTAGTGTGTGGTTTAACTCTGATGTTTCTTTGTTGATTTTCTGTCTGGATGATCTGTCCATTACTGAGAATGATGTGCTGAAGTCCCATACTATGATTGTATTGCAGTCTATCCCTGCCTTTAAATCTATTAATGTTTACTTTATATATTTGGTAGCACCAGTGTTTGGTACGTGGATATTTATAAGTCTTATATTCTTTTGCTAAATTAATCCCTTTATCATTATCTACTGACCTTCTTAGTCTGTTTTGACAGTCTCTGATTTGTAGTCTATTTTATCTGATACATGTACAGCTACTCCTGCTCTTTTTTGGTTTTCAGTTGCCTGGAATATCTTTTTCCACTCCTTCACTTTAAGTCTGTGTGTGTCTTTATAGGTGAAGTGGGTTTCCTATAGGCAGCATATAATTGGGTCTTATTTATTTATTCATTGGGCCACTGTGTTTCTCTTAACTGAAGAATTGAGTCCATTTACATTGTGTTATTACTGATAGGTGAGGACTTAGTACTGCCATTTTGTTGCTTGTTTTCTGGGTGATTTGTAACTCCTTTCTTCTCTGCTTTTTTGTTAAGTGCTTTTCTCTGGTAGCATGTTTTAATTTACTGCTTTTTACATTTAGTGAATAAATATAGGTTTACATTGTGGTTACCATGAGGGTTACAAAAAACATCATATAGGTATGACTATTTTAAATAGTTGACAACTTATCTTAGAGCTCAATGAAAAAAATAGAAACAAACAAAAAGTGGAAAAATCTCTAAACTTTAACTCCATCCCCTCTACCCCAATTTTGGCTTTCTGTTGTCTCAATGTGCATATTTTATATGTCATATATCTTGACAGGTTGTTGTAGTCATCATTGTTTTAAATAGATTTGTCTTTTGGGCTTCATACTAGAGTTATGAATGAATTGCACCTGACAATTACAGTATTAGAGTATTCTGGGTTTTTCTGTACTTAGTTTTACCAGTGAGTTTTATACCTTCATTTTTTTTTATTTTTGTATGTTAGTTTTCTTTTTCTTTCAGATTGAAGAACACCCTTTAGCATTTCTTGTAAGATGAGTCTGGTGGTGGTGAATTCTCCCACCTTTTGTTTGTCTGGTAAAAACTTTATCTCTCCTTCATATTTAAAGGATAACTTAGCTGAATACAGTATTCTTGAATGGCAGAGTTTTTTTTTTTTTTTGCTTTCAACACTTTGAAAATGTCATCTCCCTCCCCACTGGCCTGTATGGTTTCCATTGAGAAGTTGATTGCCACACCAATTAGAGCTCTGTTATATGTTATTTGCTTCTTTTCTCTTGCTGCTTTCTGGATCCTCACTTTGTTCTTGACAAAGAGGTTGATTATTATATGCCTTGAGGTAGTTTTATTTGGGTTGCATCTGTTTAATGTTCTCTGGCTTTCCTGTACCTGGATATTTATCTTTTTCTCAAGATTTGAAAAGTTTTCCGTTATTCTTTCTTTGAATAAGCTTTCTACCCCTTGCTCTTGCTCAAGTCTATCTTGAATGCTGATTGTTCTTAGATTTAGTATTTTGAGGTAATTTTCTTTTTCTATCATCTTTTTCTTTTCTTTTTTACAGGGTCTTGCTCTAACACCTAGGCTGGATTGCAGTGGTTCAATTATCACTCACTGCAGCCTTGACTTCCTAGGCTCAAGCGAGTTGATGTCATTTTTTATATCTTACAGGCAATCTTTGTTTCTTTTCATTCTTTTTTTTTTCTCTTTTCACTATATATTTTCAAATAGCTTATCTTCTAGCTCACTGATTCTTTCCTCTGATTCATTGCACTGTTGAGAGCCTCCAGTGAATTTTTCAACTCAGCAAATGTATTTCTCAGTTTCAAGATTTCTGTTTGATTTTCATCCTATTACTTCAATCTCTTCGTTAAATTTCTTTAATTACTGAATTGCTTTTTTCAGGGGAAAGTCATAGCCCCCTGCTTGCTGTTGTTTCTTGTGTATGTACATCTATGTATTTGCATTGAAAAGTTGGTTATTTATTCCAGTCTTCTTTGTCTGGCTTGCTTTGGTTTTTATTGGATATGTTTCCTTAGGCAGTCTTTATAATTTATTAGATTATTTTCTTTTTGTCCCCCAGGTTGCTGCCTCCTTTTCAACACTAAATGACACCTTCTGCCCAGGTTTGCCTCAATTCTAGTAAGCAATCACCACCCATCCCATATGGGAGAGATCCCAAATGGGATATCCTGGTAGTGTGGGATGGCTTTCTAGGGGTTCATGCTCAGGGTACCTGTGGAACAAACCTCCTACAGCATAGGGCTGCTGAACAGCCACTCTAATTTGCCACCTCCTTTGGCTGAATTAAAAAGCAGAGTTTCCAGGGCTGGGGATGGTAATCCTGCCTCTCTCCTTTGTCTCTGGCTATCCTCAGGACATTTCTTCTTTTAGGCACTCTCAATGCTTCTCATGGGTTGAGACAGGGACATGTCTACTTCCAGGGATCCCCAGATGGTGGAGAATTTGGTTATTCAACTCAATCTTACTTTTTTCAGTTTAGAAACTGTGAGATGGGGGAAATTTTCCATGTACTTGGTTCTGGGCAGATTGGGAAGAGAAGTATCTCAGATATGAAAGGCTAATTCTTTACTTTCTTCTCAGAGTTTTTCAGTTCTCTGTGGCCCCTGAGAACTGTCTCCTTTTCATATTTGTGTTCTTGTATATTGCTGGTGATAATCTTGGTACTGTATATTTGATTTTGGTTTTCTTTTGGGGTAGTAAAGCCAGCTTGCTTCTACACCATCATTTTGGAACTGGAAGTTTTACAGACTTCCCTCTTTCATCATCAAAGTTCAAAAGGAAAGCAACAAGCACGGCAATATGAGGAAACAGGCCAGAGAACTGAGCTGTAGGTTTGAGGAACTTCTCAGTGGGAAGCTGGTTTTAATTGTGATCTAAATTAAGGAAGACCAAAGGTAGGGCTGGCAACTAGCTATGGAGGTTAATTGGAGTCAGGAAAAGTAAGTTTTAAGGCAGGTATTAGGTCACCATCTGAGGCCTAGGCTCTAAGGCAATAAGTGAGAGATGACTATAATCCAGTACCATAGACAGCTTCATGGACATATAGGGTCTAGGGAGAATGTTATGTCTCACAACAAAGTGACAATTAAAGAAGGACTAGAAAGAAATGGGAAAAGAAAATTATGTCTTGGCTATCTATGTCCTATGCCGAGAAAATGACAACTGCAAAATTAGGTGGGTACTTGGTGAGAGGGAAATAGCAAGGAGGCCAGTAAGGCTGGAACACAGTGAACAAAGTGAGAATAGGAGTAGTTAAATTCAGCGAAGTAACAGGAGGAAGACTATGTAGGGCACTGAAGGTCAGAGAATAGGCTTTGGATTTTACTGAATATAGAAAAAAAATGACATACTCTGACCTATTTTAAAAAATTCACACTGATTGCTAGGTGGAAAAGAGAGACTAGGAGTCTAGAGCACAAGTGGGGAAACCAGTTGAAGGCTTTTACAGTAATTCAGGCAAGATGTATTGTATCTTGAACCAAAGTAGTAGCAATGGAGATATTGAAAAATGGTCAAATTTAAGATACATTTTGAGGTATAACCAACAATATTTGCTGATAGTTTGAATGTGAGATAAAGAAAGGAGGCAAATACAACTTTAGAGTTTTGCTTAAACAACTGCAGAGATGGAATTTTAATTAACTGTATACAGTTATGTGCCATACAACAATGTTTTAGTCAATGATTGACCGCTTATACAATGGTGGTCTCAGAAGATTATATTTACACATGTGTAGATGCAGAAATACTTACCATTGTGTTATAACTGCCTGCAGCACTCACGCTGTTCAGGTTTGTAACTTAGGAGAAATAGGCCATACCATATAGCCCAGATTTATAGTAGGCTGTAACATCTAGGTTTGTATAAGTACACTTTTAGTTTGCACAATTAGGAAATTACCTAAGGACATGGTTCTCAGAACATATCCCCATTGTCAAATGATGCATAACAGAAATTACATACGGACAAGATTACAGAAAGAGCTGATTCTAGTGTTTATTGATAGAGGAATCAGGTGTCTGGTTTAAGACATGTAATGTTTGAAATGTCTATTAGACATTCAAATGGAGACATCAGGTAGATAATTGGACATACAAGAGTGAAATCTAGGCTGGAGTTATGAATCTTGAAATCTATAGCATTTAAAGCAAATTGGATTGAGATCACTTATGGAATGAGTTTACATAGAAAAGAGTGGTATTCTAACAATTGAGCTTTGAGATATTCCAAAGCTTAGAGATTGGAAAAATGAGAGATAACCCACAAAAGAAGGGAAAAGAATGAAAAGTGAGATAGGGGAGAATTTGTTGTCCTAAAGTCCAAGCACAAAAAGTAGTTCAAAAGTGAGAGACTAATTAACTGTGCCTAATTCTGTTGGAAGGGGTCAAGAAATTTGAGAACTGAAAGTAAACTGTTGAAATGAGCAACAAAGAGATCACAAAAGGTCTTGACAAGAGTAGTTTTGGTTAAATGGGGAAGAAAGATTTATGAAGTGGGTTCAAGAGAGAATGAGAAGAGAGGAAATAAAGATGAGTTTAGATAATTATTCCTTGAGTTTTGCTACAAGTAGAGTAGAATATAAACAGAAGATGATATAGGAACAGGGCAGGGTTTTGTAGGTGAGAGATATTACAGTATATGTGCATGTTGATTTAAATTATCCAGTAGAGAATGAAAATTTGATGATATGGAAGGGCAGCAGTGCTGGAATAATTAGATGTGGGAATGTTTTGGCAGTAGCCAGCAACGTTATTGAGGAAGGGAGCTAATGTAATCAGTTACATCGGACTCTTGTCTGTCTCTGAATTCACCCTCATATTAATCAGAATCACTTTATTCCTAGAGTATTAAACTCAAAATTTCTGACACCATCCTAGTATTTCATCTTCAATTTTTAAACTACTATACACACTTTCTCTCCTTGCTACAGCTGTTGTTGTCCCTGTTAATATTGTTAGAAATAAATTTTAACTCATTTTAAGTACCAACATAAATCTTTCTTTTCTCCTTGAAAGATGCCCTCCCCCTCCAGCATCTTTTCCTTTACGATGTCACCAACATGATAAAATGTAAAGAAAAGAGAAATATGTTCGGAGCGCCTTTGGTGACAGCATATTTAAAATCTATTCTTTCTGTTTTGTTGCAAGTAGAATTGAAAAGGGTATTGATTGCTCACAGAATCCCTAGGAAAGAAAATTGAGAAAGAATGCCCAAAATCATGTTGCATAACCAATTTGTGGAAGATACCACTCTGCAACCAATCCACCTAGCACTTTTGTTGGACTATGTCCCAGGGCCACTGCTGCTCCCAGCAGTGCTATCTTCCCCAAGTCCCTACTTGGGGAAGGAAATTCTTAACATGATCATGGCTGAGGGTTATGTATCTTTCTAGTGAAGTTCACATCAGCAGCAAAGGAGGCCAAGAAAGCAAGTGTCTAGTATTTTCAACTACTTTACTGGGAAGAAGGCCCACTTCTAAGTGTTTTAACTGACCAAGTTTCTGATTCCTATCACCACAGAGTTCCATCAGTCTAATTTTTGTAAATCTCATTGACATCTATCCTAGAAAGTATAAATGATGTATATATATCTTGTTGTTGTTAAGTCCTTGGTAAAATTTAGAATGTCTTAAAGTTTTCCATATTATCTTCCTATTAGGAAGGGAATATTTCCTTTAGAAGGGGAATACTTTCCAAACATGCTATATCTATAGAATACATTTTTGATCACCTACCATGTATCAGGTAGATACTAGTGATAAAATGCCAACACACTTTTCCTATTATCAAAAAGAGAGTTTATTGAGATATACAAGAATAAACATAATACTGTAAAACAAAGTGTGCTTAGGTGGTAGATGAAGAAGGACAGAAATTAACATTTATTGAGTGGTTACTCTGAATCTGACATGATGTCAGGCACTTATTTCATTTATTATCATAGCAATCTTCTATATTAAATATTATGAGAGAGGTTAAATGACATGAATTTAATCCATACAGGTAGTATGTGATGGAGCTGGGATGCAAATCTAAGCACTTCCTTTTCAGAAACATGTAGGTAGGAAAATTGTCTAGCTCTCTACTCATCAGTCCCCTATTCCATTCAGGTCTCACCTGCCGCTAAGTACCCATTCATTCAAGTCTAATATTTTAATAACATTTCTAGCCTTAAGAGCTCTGTAAGAACCTCTGTCTTAGTAGTTTTAGTATAAAGCTCATAAAAATAGTTAAGAATAGCTACCAGTAATAATTATCTATAACTATTTAGACTCTATGCTTCAGATTATAGCCTCCTGCTACACATACTGAAAAGTTTAAGTACTTGAACCATCTTAATTTTCCATCTCTCATAGGTCTCTGACCATTTTCCCTTAATCTCTCAGCCTGGTATCCTGATCCTTACAACCTGACAGTTTTAAACTGAATATTTTGTGTTATCACTCTGTTTCCTAGCTGACATCTCTGAACACAATCTCTTACCTTCCTATTTACCATTTAGCTAATATTACTTCTACATGGCCAACCCCAGATCCTGACTGCTTCTAACTTATCCTGCACACTTAGCATCCAAGACTCAGCAGGACAGTTAACTTTAGGAAAAGTCATAACAGCTCTAGTGAATAAAGTCAGCAAATAAAATTCAAAGGTAAACACAGAACTTCTGAGATTATAGTTGATAAGTTTAGTAACACCTGAGAATAGTTAGTAACACTTGTTCCTGTTTTCTGTCCAAATTTTTAAATACTCAACAGATAAATTTTATTGAGATGTGTCCAGCAGTTATTTTAGCAAATCTGCCTCATTTGACTTAGTCTAAATAGTAATCATTGGGTATTAAAATAGTTCAATCTGAGTAAGCATCTGAAGGTTTGTTCACAGTCCAGCAATTTTGGCAGATTAGAGAATAAAACATAAGTACTATTCTTTCAGAGACTGTGACCCACACAATTAAAAAATTCTAATTTTACCAGTCTGGCCTCTTCCATATCCTGCTGATTATATAGTGAAACTACTACTGCTCTATTTGCCCATGAACTTGAAGATATGGCTATGAAGCATCAAATGAAGTGAAGATTGGCAAATTATCTACCTATTTGAATAGGAATATCAACTATATAATTCAAACCCTCTATTTTCCTAGTTTTAGTCATTTTACTGAATCATTTGATTTAGCTGGCCACTTAGATCAAGTAATTAAATAAATGCTTAAACTATTAAGAACCTACTTGTGGACATCAAAACTTAAAACCATTCCCTGTTTCAAAAAATACTTGCTGCTGCTTACGTTACTTCTACTTGTATCCTAGGTATAGTCATGGCATCCATCACGTGGGCAATGTCAGCAACTGACTAAGTAGTAGAATACATTCAATGCAATGCCAGCAACTACTAAGTAACTGGGATACATTCATTTATCCAGGTTTAATGTGATGCTTCTGTAAATGTCCCAGAGGATAAAAATTTTTTGAAAAAAGGATTCTTTGTTGCTTCTGAGATATGAGGAAGTGCTCAAATCTTCCTCTTTCAAAATGTCAGAGAGTCCTTATTCCAGACTTGCACGCCTAAATTTTTACCAATGGTGGAAGTTGGTATGATTCTCCTGTGCAACTCAGAATATAGGATTCATATCACAGACCCTCTGGGACCCTGGCTTGTGCAAGCTCCACATAAGCCCTGGATATTCAATAGTATTTTCCTTAGGGAAGGAGAGTGTTATGAAATTGAAAGCACATGAAGCTATTTGGCATCTCCTATTTTTAAAAAATTTAGTATAATTTTAAATAATTTAAATGCAAAATAGAATTTCTAATTTCATTACCTATGCCAAAATTTCTGTGACATTTCATGACACTGTCACTCTAGCATTCTTTCTGTCTCAGTGAAATTGGTGTTTGAGGATTCTTTGCATATTCCTAGCTGAGTTTACTGTCAACCAGAGTCTAATTTGCATATTTCTCTTACAAACTCAAAATAAGTTTTGATCATATTTGAATCATGTAAGCCATTTTCCCCCTTTGAATCATTTTACTTTACAGAAAGTTTCTTGTCTTAAAACAGTTACAGTAATAAATAATAAACATCACAGTAAAATTAACACCTTCATTTTTTCTATTTTTGTCATTGCAGTATTTAACCTTTAGTTTGATTAATTAAAATTCTATCTCTTAGAAGAACATAAGCATAATCAAGAGAAAACCTACAAAATCAGGATTATGTATGTGCAGCTCCTGGCACAATGCTTACCCTTAAGTAAATGTTCAACAGCTAGTAATAATAGTAACACAACTTAAGCAGACTTCTAATTCGTTTACTCCTCAAAGACTATTGAAGAGTAGGTCCTGAGTTTGTCATCCAGTTTGTGGATATGATCCACTTTCTGGCACAGATACAAAGTAAACCACAGTTCTTGGGTCAAGAAGCTTAGTGTATAGTGAGAGAGACAGAAGGTTTGTGCAAAGTGCTATTTGTGCACTTTGTGTGTTGGGTAATAGAGGAAATGACTAACTATGGGATGTTGAAGCCAGAAAATAGTTCACAAAGCAAGGGACTTTTGAGCTTTAGAGATTCTGTGGGAGTTTTTCCAATAAATATAATTACTTAGTAGAGAGGGCTTTTGGGGGAATTAAAGATAACTGAATTATTGCTCTTTTGCCAGCAACATTGGGCACAAGATTTTCTGATATCCCAGGAATGAGACCCACCTCCTCCCTATCACCCCATCTTCAGCTGAAGGCAATAACAGCCACCCCATGACCTCCAAACTCAGTGCTCTGTGGCTTCTGAAATGAATTTCATCATGCTTCCAATACCAGTCCAATACCAGCTCCCTTGTATCACCCTCAGAAATCCAAGCTTCCCAGTTCACCTAATTTCACAGGTATTTATCACCACCCTGCTTTCAGCGTCACCAATCTGATCACATCTCCCACATTCTTGGTCATCCAAGTCCTTCCACCAAAGCTTGTTTCCAGTTATCAGAAAATTCCTCTACTTCCTTAATCTTTTTATTGAACATTTCCTTCAGATTCTTGTTGAAATTAACCTGACTCCAGCAAACCCTGCTTTCCCTAGAGCCCTTCAAGTGGAAAATGTCTTTATTTTTTCTTCTTTTTCCCCCCTGAGATGGAGTTTCACTCTGTTGCCCAGGCTGGAATGCAGTGGAGCCATCTCAGCTCACTGCAACCTCCGCCTCCTGGGTTAAAGCGATTCTCCTGCCTCAGCCTCCCGAGTAGCTGGGAATTACAGGTGCATGTCACCATGCCTGGCTAATTTTTTGTATTTTTAGTAGAGACGGGGTTTCACCATGTTGGCCAGGCTGGTCTCGAACTCCTGACCTCGTGATCCACCCACCTCGGCCTCCCAAAGTGCTGGGATTACAGGCGTGAGCCACCACACCCAGCCTATTATTTTCCTCTTATATGCTACATACTACATACGCTTAGAGCTTGAGGTAGCGTCCTCTCTGCTCCCTGTTGCTACTTCCAAACTGTCACTCCTATTTCACACTTCAAAACTCTGTCTTTTGAAACACACGTTATCATTCTTTGCCACTATGGATTCCCTTCTTGTTAAGCAACGTAGGGACCTCTGAGTCACTGCTCTTCACTCATTTATATATTTTCTGTCATCATGGCTATCTACTTCAAAATCCAATTAGATGACCCAACACCTTGACCTCAATCCCTTTGTTTCCTTACCTCTAATAATCTTGTCCTCTATCACTCTTCCGTGACCCACTCATGTGTCATATCTAGACATTGTCATCACCCTGTACCATCTTTGAATTTCTCTTTTAAACATCTCATTCTGTCATTTCCTATTCTTCTAGCCTACTTACTCTAGTACTCTACTCATGCAATTCACCAGTTCATTACTAGCACTAATTCATTAACCCCATAACTTTCCTTTATTCATCTTACCTCGTGTCCTCACGTCACTTGTACAGCTTGTTTTTCATGTTTCCATCATATAACTACTTTTTTTTTGAGAGAGAGAGAGAGAGACTGAGTCACATTCTATCACCCAGGCTGGAATGCAGAGGCATAAGCATAGCTCACTGTAACCTCACCTTTCTGGACTCAAGCATTCCTCCCCCCTCAGCCTCCTGAATATTTTAGACTACAGGTGCTCACCACCACACCCAGCTAATTTTCTTATTTTTCTGGAGATGGGGGTCTCACTGTGTTGCCTAGGCAGGTCTTCAACTCCTGGGCTGAAGCAATACTCCTGCCTAGGCCTCCCAAAGTGTTGGGATTACAATTATGAGCCATTGTGCCCAGCTTTACTTTCTAACAAATGTCCTTAATGCCCCTTTTTCTTTCTCCCTCAATTATTCTTCCCTGGCAAAACCTAAACACTGGTCAAATCCAACTAACTGTTAATATGTTCCTACATTCAAGTGGTTGAACACTACTGGAGAATGTTACATAATTACGCTTATTGGAATCAGCGTGAACAACATCTTGCTGAAGACAATGGCTAATTCTATGCTTTCATCTGTCACTTCCTGCTCGTTAAAAGATTTTTTTTCTCTAGGTATGTTACCTATTATTGTGTGTTTCAGCTTGAGTGTGCTTGCATTTAAAACCACCATAAGTGCATTTTTATATACAATTCTCTCAAGATAACATTCCATAAGCCAATGACTTGACCTCTACCTCCTTTTCAGCTCTTCAGGGAGTAACAAAAATACAGGATTTCCTTATGACTAGCTATAGCAAAAAATTGTTACAGAACACATATTTAGTGCATCGTGCGTTTGCTTTCTGTTGTGTTTTGCTTTATTTCCCCATGTATATAGCCTTTAAGAATCTATGACCTAGATAAGCCTTTAAATACCTAGTCATTTAACATTGTAATCCATTAACCATTTTATCTTTCCCTTGTCCCCCATACAAGATTTTGGACCACATGTAATTTCCATCTTCCAACTATCAGATATTGTTCAATGGCATTTAACTTCTTACTCTCAGATGTTGTTAAATGCACTGACTCAGTTCTTCCAAAGCCTATAAAGAATGCATCCTCACCAGGTACCTTTGCTTTGTCCTACATCTCAAACTCAATAAGCTCCAAATCTTTAGTCTCTACAGACTGCATCTGCTTTAGAAAAACTGCACTGTGTCTGCCACAGCCCTCATTGAATGTTTTTGGGTTTTTTTTTTTTTTTAGGGGGAGGAATGAGGGTCTATGAAGGGAAGATGTGATGTTTCCTTATTTGTAAAATAATAAGAATATAATAAATATCATGAGGTTTTTCTGATGTTTCAATGAGTTAATGCATGTAAATGTCAGCAGAGTCCTGGCATGTAGTAAGCATCTAATAAATGTCACTTTTACAATAATTATTAATACTTAGCCCAGTCTCTCTACCCTTGGCTTCACATTACTAATATTTACCAATTAACTCAAGGAAAAAATAATTTTTTTTGGTTGGTTCTCTTTGCCTCTTTGTCATCTTTTCTCTTATCTCCAGAGAGTCTTTTCTAGTCATCTGTTGGCCTCTCTTCTGAGTAGGTATTCTAAGAGCCTCTCCCTCGTGTTCATTCTAGTACTTCACCCTAATTATATTGTCTTCCACTTTCACTAAGGTGCTTTGGGAAATTTATCAAGTAATAATTGTAAAATAACCACCCTAATGCTACAGTTGTTTAGAAGTAAACATTCCAATAAACATAAACATTAAAATTAATTTTAACTACAACATTTGTTCTTTATATAATATCCATGGAGTCAAAGTGTCTATTTCTTTTCAAAATTTACCAGAAGCCCTTAATGAAATGTCCATCAGTATTTCTAGATTACTAACGGTGATCACAAATTTCAAGCCCTCTAGTGGTCAACATTATCTTGCTCATTCTCTAAGACTGACAGTATTCTTCAAATACATTGAAAAATTAGTATAACTTACAAAAACATTTCCACCAAGAGAGGATTAGATATTATCCATGTCCCCTTCTCAGTGTACTACAGCTCAAGCCAAATTATTCATTACAACAAAAAAGTTGTTGGATATCAATGTTAATTAAATTTTAATATTTATTTTTATTGGGAATAAGAAAAAAATCCCAAAACCAAGATAAATTATCAGTTCTTCCTGACTTGAAAGTGAGTAAAATATTTTAGAAATACAATAAATTTAGTTTTTTGGCTTCAGAACCAGAGGTGGCCACTTACTATTTATATGTTACTTAGAGGAACTAATAAATATTTCTAAGCACCAGTTTCTAACAGTTTTTAAAAACTCTAGGCTATAATATTTACCTGATAGAAATTATAGGAAGGAAACAAGATTAAAATACAGATTTTGACTAATTTACTACATAGAACAGAATAGGTGCTCATCAAATCCATAAAATAATCATGGTGTCATTACTTTTGAGTAATAAAGGAAAATTAAGAGATTTCTCTAATGTCCTACAAAATTCATATTCTTACTGGAATTACCTGATTAAATCTAACATCAAATGCATTTTGTGTGCATTTAAATAACAATTATTCCAAGTTATATATGACTTAATAAGATAGTTACCCCTTTTGCAAAACTCTATGATTTAAGTTTTTAATTTAACTCACAGTGTGCTATTTTTTAAACTGCAGAAACACGTCTTTTTCTTCCATTTCAAGAACTAAAAACAAAATTAGTTTTATTCAAAAAAATGGCCAGCTATAAATAACTGCAGTGATTCTGTGTAGTTAATGTAAGGCTATTACAAATATTTAGGATTAAAAAGAAAAAATAGAGACATGAAAATAGTAATGCATGGAAATGGTATCTGACTTTTTAATCTCTAAAAAACTAAATTAGTTTTTGATGAAATTATGTGATAATTATATTTTATTTGTAAAATATCCTTGCTGCATTGTGTGATTGAGTACACATATAATACTATGAAAATAAAACATATTATTCTTCTCTTATTTTTTTGATGAAAGAAAATGTATAGACTGAATTTCACTCATATAGACCAGGTAATAATTTATCCTATTTTACTGTAAAGTCACCAAGTCAAGCTTTAATGAATTTTATATGTAGGGACATATGTCTATTTCCTTGACCTAATTTCTCTGCCAAATTTAGATCTAGAAATGTGTAAACATGGTGTAGCGGTTTTTTTCTACAAGCCACGTAGATTCTTAATTGGAAAGGATCCCTGTTCCGAAAGACAGATAAAAGAAAAACAACACAAAAATTAATATGTATATTTCACGTATACATAGGAGACACCCAGGGAATGAGTAATTCTCAAAGGAGTGGCTTTGAATCCCAGCTTACATAGCATCTTCAACAAAGAACAGTATACTTTTTAGAGAAATAAGACAAAGGAAAAAGACTTTGAGTCGCTATAGTCAGCAACTTGGGGAAAGGCAAATAAATGATGGATAAAGGCTAGTCAGTAAAGGTTACTAATGTAGATCCCTTGGGTATTTCAGATGATAAGTGTCCAAACCTTTTGTATTTATAAATCTATATACCGCTTTTAAGCAAATAAAAACTAAAAATAAAAAAAGGGAGGACAGAAAGCTTTCCTGCATTTGCTTCTTCTTAATTGTCTTCAGCAAAATGTGAAAAATCCACACTTTGGGGCTGCATATTCTGGTCTCCTACAGTAAATCCATAGGGTTCAATCTATAATAAAAAGGAAGTAAGTATGCCAGATGAAATAAGGAATGCCAAGTTAAATTTGGATTTCAGACAGTGAATAATTATTTAACATCCATATGTCCCATGCAATAATTTTAAGTATATTGTATCTCAAATATTACATGGGCATATACTAAATAATTTATTGTTTATCTGAAATTCAGATTTAATGGGGTGCCCTGTATTTTTATTTGCTAAATTTGGTAACCTCAAAAGAAAGATTAAAATTATTCTGGGGAAAACATACAAAACAAATATTTCAACAATCATACCTTATATTTTAATTGAAAAATAAATGGATCTCCAGTCCCCTAGAAATGCAAAGCCAACCTATAAATAATTTTAAACACACGGAGGAAAAAAACCTAGAAACTAGCTCTTGCTCCAAATCTAGATCATTTTTATCATTTCTACTTGTTGTATTTCTCATTCTAATATAAACATAAATAATCAACTCTTAGGAAATTTGTGTGGTTGGTGGGCAGTCTGAAATATAAAAATTAGAACTGGGTGCAATGGCTCATGCCTGTAATCCCAGCACACTGGGAGACCAAGGCGGGAGAATTGCTTGAGCCCAAGAGTTTGAGACCAGCCTGGACAACATGGTAAAATCTCTCTCTACAAAAAAGTGCAAAACTTAGCCAAGTGTGTGGCATGTGCCTATAGTCCCAGCAGCTTGGGAGGCTGAAGCGAGAGGACCACTTGAGTCCAGGAGGTCAAGTCTATAGTGAACCATGATTGTGCCACTGCACTCCAGTCTGGGCACCAGTGAGACCCTGTCTCAATAAAAAAAAAGAAAAGAGAAAAGAAAAGAGGTTTTGTGAAGAACTACTGCATCTACCAAATTCTAATTGACAACTTCTTTTTTAAAAACATATCCTTACCTTCTGAATCACTGCTAATTAAGCCAGGACTGGGTAGCACATTCAATCAAAATCTCTTTTCTGGCGATTTGCAATTTATTCATTTTATTCATATTCATTTTCTTTGGGTGATTGGATCTGAAACATGCAAACCCATTTGATGGCGCCTCCACTTGACCATATGCTGCCTTTTGGAAACTGGAAGAGATACCCTTTCTAGGACAACTCAGCCCTCAGGGTTCACTGCATGGCTAGCAGAACTAGGACTGTATTTTAACTCCCTCAGCTGAATATCCTTGTGCAGTGAGCAACCCCTATACCCTTATGGGGTATCGTTGGACTTTTACACAACGTAAAATAAACAGTACGGCACAGAAAGAAGTACAAATGAGAGATGGAGTCAGAATACTGCTAACTTTTTGATGTTTTTCCATTTATAAATTCTAAATCTCTTTGAGACAAGGATTATTCCTGTCATTGCATTCTGTAAAATATTCTTGAATAGTTATAATAAATTCTTCCACTTCTTTCTGCCACTTGAAATCAAAGAATTGTATTAGTTACATAAATACCGGCTTTAAAGTAATGTCTAGGAATCACTGGCAGATTCTGATAAGATTCTGGCAATAACCTATATTGAATTGATGTTTGAATACATCAAAGTGCCTTCCTTTTACTTCTAGATTGATCTCTTGAAATCCCTTTTAGATTCTGGGTCTCTTAAGTTTCAGAGACTGATAAATCCTTCTTGAATATAGAGAACAAAAAGGATTGTCTTCAACTGCATCCAGAATGAGTTTAATTTTCATTCACTTCCTATGTATAATGGCTTCCTCAGGCTGGACAATAAGCCATGTTGTTTGACATAAAATGCCTTTTTTTTCCCCCTCTTTGGAACAATTCATAAACATAAAATTGGAGGGATGGTACTAAAAGAAGGAATCAGAAACTTATATACAAACACATATTAATGACATAAACAAAAATGGAAACAGAGAGATAAACAAGAACCAAAGTGGAACCACTGAATACTTTATTACAATAAAACCTCTGAGCAGTAGCTTATAGTTTACCAAAGTTTTTTTTTTTTCTGTTTTATTTTACTATGATGGTTGTGGGGGAAAGCCTTGTTTTCTTACACACTGTGACATCTTGGGCATTCACAGAACCATTTTCATATATTTACTTAGTTTCCTTCTAGCTGGAGGAATAGGTAGTCAGCACTTTATTATTGTGCATGAGAGGCAAACTCAAGCATGTAGTTCATTATAAACATCTTTTGTAATCATGTGTTTACAAGCATCAATTTCACATAATACCTTCCAGAAGAAGTCCCTGCCATTGTTTGCAGAGTAGTAAGATATTTTCCTTCTTATAGTTACAATCCCAGTTTGGATCTAAATAAATACTTCGCTGACATAGAAGTTACCATTTCATGAATCTGAGATAAGAAATTTAGAGCAGGTAAAAGTATCAATATTTTCTTGCTTTATACTTAATTTTATTCTACATCAACAAAAATCCCTAAAGAGTAAACTTCCTAACTTCATTGTATTAATTTTTAATTTTTTTCAGTATATAGTGACATATAATACAAATATTTTTATTTTCATTCAGTGATTCTCTAGTATATGCATCTTGGTAGCATCTTATATATTACATTTTCAGAATGAGCTTTGGGAATCCAAGAGATCTGGATCAAATGATAGAGCTATCTGCCTTCTAGTAGGTGTGACATTATGGAAGCAAATATATCACTAATTGAATCTTGTTTGCTAAAACCTACAATAGATATAATAAGCTTTAGTTTTCTGAGTTGTCGAAGAGGTTAAAAGTGATATATAAAATGTTGTTGGAAAAAAAACAGGGTCTTGTTACACAACCAGGAAAATTTAGGCACGCGGATGCATTGGAGGGTGAGTAGAGCAGGGTTTATTGGGCGAAAAGAAAAAAGGAAAAATAACTCTCAGCAAAGTGAGAGAGAGTACTGCTAGCAGGTTTCCCGCCTCACAGATTGAATCCCAGGTCACCACACAGGAACAGGAGAGGCCAGGTTCCTCCCCCTTGCAAATGGCGGGAACTTCCCAAGGCTCCACCCCGTCTTCCCAGTGCGCAGATGGGCATCATTCAGGAACAATCAGTCGGGAAAAGCCTGGCTTCATCCAGGACCTGCAGTACGGCTTTTCAGCCGTCAGGCTGCTTTAGGCTTAAAGGTGGGGTTTTGCCGGGGACCCTTGGCTGTCTCCTGTCTCTATCAGTAACATGGCTAATGATGTTTTTGGCACATAGTATATGCTAAATAAGTAATAGTTATTATGGAAGGAATGCATACGCTGGGAAATTTATTTTAGGACCTAATTTCTTAAGTTGTTCTCATTTTTAATATAGAAGGTGACCAATGGGAATCATAGAAGACTGAAGCCATAAGCTGGTAGTTTGGAAGAGGTGGCTCAATAGGTGAAACAGTCAGGAGACATGGCAGTCACTGAGCCATGATAATAAAAGCTCCCTTCATGATGATGGCATGTAAGTGGGAAGGAATAAATCCTAATGGACAGATGAAAGAAATACTTTTAATACAGAATCTATGGGATTTGATACTTGTTGGAAATTAATACAAGGGAAGAGCAGTCAAGCATTATTACTCCGATTGAATTTGAATAAATAGGAAAATTGTACCGCAAGCAGATATTGAAACTTTAGAAAGGATACACGTTGTCAACAAAAAGGAAGTGGGAAATAAGAATGAGCTATTCAGAACTACTGAGACTAATTATCACAATGTGTGATTTATCTATATGGAGATAATGGCTAAGGGCTTTGGCAGTGTTATACATGCCAAAGCAGTGGGAAAGACCCAAGTTTAAGAAAAAAGGAAAGGAAGAACAAGGCAACAAAATGAATAATGAAGGAACAATTCGTAGCAGTAGAAATACCAGGAGAACTGGAATTGAGAAAGTCCAAGGAAGACAGTTTCAAGAAAAGATGGTGTAATACGTATGTATTTGGTCTTTGTCACCAGTTTCTGGCACTCAGCTTCTAAAACCCTTGAAATCTCAGGAGTTGTCTCTTTTGTAAGCTAATGAGATGACTGGTGGCTGTGGTCCCCCAGATAGGATGGGTTCTGGTCACTGGAAAAGCTAAAGCATGAATAGAGGGTTAGAAACTTCAGCCCCTCCCCTCACTCCAGGGAGAGGAGAGGGAGCTAAAGACTGAATTAATCAATATGGCCTGATTTAATAAATCATTCCTCCATAACTGAAAACCTCCATAAACAACTCTAAATGATGGGTTTTGGGGAACAGCCAGGTTGATGCACACTTAAATTTGGTCCATGTGCTGGGAGGTAGCACACCCCCAATTCCATGGAACAGAAGCTCCTGCATTGGGAACCATTCTGGGCCTCTTCACCTGGCTGTTCATTTGCATTCTTTAATAAGGACACCCTCCGTAACCACATATAAGTGGGAAGGAATAAATCCTAATTGGAGTTGAAAGAGATACTTTTAGTACAGAATTATAGGATTTGGAAATTGCTAGAAATGACAAACAAGGAAACATCAGTCACACATTATTACTCCAAGGATTGTAAACTCCTATCTCTTATAATAAAATGGCCAACTGTTTTCCTGGGTTTTGTGAGTGTTTCTAACAAATTATCAAACCTGTGGAGGGGAATATGGGAACCCCTCCCCATAATTTATAGCCAGCTGGTTATACATACATGTGGCAACCTGGGACTTGGGACAGAAGTCCGAAGTGGGGACAGTTTTGTGGAGCTGAGCCCTTAACCTGCAGAGTCTGTGCTAACATTTGGTGACTTCATGTTGGAATTGAATTGAGTCAAAACAGTTCAGAAGTGGTAACTGGCTATGCAGATTTCTATAGATTCACATGAGGTTGAGGCTTAACTCAGTTGGCTGGATTTGATCATTGGGAGTCCTTGGTCATAAGCAGGATCCTCAGAGTAGACGGATGGAAGCCAGACCGCACAGACTTAAACAGAGGGCCGTGATAGCTATTGACAGAATCCACATGAACGTTAATCCTTCCTTCACATTTCTGAAAATATCCACATTCTGACCTTGCCAGCCTGTTGGAAGAGCCTAAAGATCAGGAAGCAGATCTTGGAAATGGGATAAGGATTTGAGATGGGGCTTGGGGGTGAAGCCAGGAGAAAGGCATTAAGAAAATGAGTTTTCTTAGCTGGGCGTGGTGGTGCATGCCTGCAGTCCCAGCTACTCAGGAGGCTGAGGCAGGAGAATTGCTTGAACCCAGGAGGTGGAGGTTGCAGCAAGCCGAGATTGTGCCACTGCACTCCAGCCTGGGTGACAGAGTGACACTCTGTATCAAAAAGAAAAAAGAAAATGAGTTTGTCTCTAGTTGCTGGGATATGCAGTGAGGATTTAGGAAGTTTATCATTCCTTTCCCCTCCTTACAACTTAGTCTAGATTTGCAGACCATTACTTGAATTATCTTAATATAAAATAGAATACTAAATTGGGGTATGGAGGTACCAGAACCAGGGAGAGGTAAAAACTAAAGGTGATCCCTAAAAGGAAGAGAGGAAAGACGGGCTTAGCCAAACTTCTATAGCAGGACATATTATAGTAACTACAGAAGTAGTGTGTTTAGAAAACAAGTCACCAATCTCTCTGGAAAAGCAGTGCTGACTGGCTGATATTATTTGACACTTAGGGACTAGGGTTGCTAATTAGCAAAGAAGGAAATTCAACTGATTTTCCTCAGAAAACAAATTACTTCTACAGTCCATTTGCTCACTTCACACTGCTCTTCCCCTTAAAAATCAGCCAAACTTAAATAGCTAAATATTTTCAGCATTGCCCATCTGAAAAGTATAGATATCTATGAGTATCTAGCTGTGGCATAGGAAATGAATAAAAATATGGAAGGTAATATGCAGTGATTAAAAATACAAGCTTTGGGGCTCAGCCTACCTGAATTTGCTTCCTTACTCAGTCACTTCCTTTGAACACACATGACTGTGCCCGTTTCCTCATCTATAAAATGAGGATAATAGACAACTATCTCAGAAGGTTCTGAGTCATATAGCAAACACCCAACAAATGTTACCCGTTACTATTATCTTAGATATTCTTGAGTATTAAATTTGAATTGACCCATATTTTCAGTGAGAAAGTTATTTAAACATTTTGTACCCACGTTTTCTCATTCATAAAATGAAAAATATTATATATCTTACCAGATTACTGTGAAACTAGGCCATGCAAAGAAGTTATTCCTGGTCCCTATCCTATTTCCCCATCACCAAATCTCAATCACAGAGCTTACAAATTCCGCACTTCTGATTCTGGAATCTACATTCTAATACACAAATATACGTAAATTCAGAAGTTGTATTTCTTTGTAGTACTCCTTGCTTTTTACTGTACAAGTAAAATATATTCAATGAAGGAAAATTTTAGGCAGGGCGCAGTGGCTCACCCCCGTAATCCCAGATGTGTTCGGAATTGGTGGGTTCTTGGTCTCACTGACTTCAAGAATGAAGCCACAGACTCCAGCAGTGAGTGTTAAAGTTCTAAAACATAGTGTGTCCGGAGTTTCTTCTTACGGGTGGGTTCGTGGTCCGGCTGACTTCAGGAGTGAAGCTGCGGACATTGGTGGTGTGTGTTACAGCTCTTAAAGGCGGCGCATCTGGAGTTGTTCGTTCCTTCCTGTGGGTTCGTGGTCTCGCTGGCCTCAAAAGCGAGGCTGCAGACCTTCTAAGTGTTACAGCTCATAAAGGCAGCACATACCCAAAGAGTGAACAGCAACAAGATTTATTGCGAAGAGCAAAACAACAGCTTACCCAGCACTGAAGGCGACCTGAGCGGGTTACCTTTGTTTGCTTGGGCAGCCTGCTTTTATTCCTTTATCTGACCCCACCCACATCCTGCTGATTGGTCCATTTTACAGAGAGCTGATTGACCCATTTTACAGAGAGCTGATTGGCCCATTTTGACAGGGTGCTGATTGGTGCATTTACAATCCTTTAGCTAGACACAAAAGTTCTCCAAGTCCCCACCAGCTTAGCTAGACACAGAGCACTGATTGGCACATTTACAAACCTTGAGCTAGACACAGGGTGCTGATTCGTGCATTTACAATCCTTCAGCTAGACATAAAAGTTCTCCAAGTGCCCACCTGACTCAGGAGCCCAGCTGGCTTCACCTAGTGAATCCCAATCCCGGCGGCGTGGAGCTGCCAGCCAGTCCCCCACTGCACACCCAGCACTCCCTGCACTCCTCAGCCTTTGGGCAGTCTATGGGACTGGGTACGGAGGAACAGGGGGCAGTGCCTGTCAGGGAGGCTGGGGGAGCGCCAAAGCCCACGGGGTCAGGGGGAGGGCAGGGGGCTCAGGCATGGCAGGCTGCAGGTCCCAAGCCCTGCCCCGCGGGGAGGTGCCCGAGGCCCAGCGAGAATTCGAGTGAGGCACCAGCAGGCTGGCCGTGCTGTGGGACCCGGTGCACCCTCTGTAGGTGCTGGCCCGGGTGCTAAGCCCCTCACGCCAGCTGCTCCAAGTGCAGGGCCCGTTGAGTCCGCACCCACCCGGAGCCCACCCGGAACTCATGCTGGCCCGTGAGTGCCGCAGCCCGGGTTCCGCCAGCGCCTCTCCCTCCACACCTCCCCGCAACCAGAGAGAGCCGGCTCTGGCCTTGGCCAGCCCAGAGAGGGGCTCCCATGGTGCAGTGGCAGGCTGAAGGGCTCCTCAAGCATGGCCAGAGCGGACGCCAAGGCTGAGGAGGCGCCCAGAGCGAGCGAGGGCTGCTAGCACGTTGTCACCTCTCACCAGCACTTTGGGAGGCTGAGGTGGACAGATCATGAGGTCAAGAGATCGAGACCATCCTGGCTAACACAGTGAAACCCCATTTCTACTAAAAATACAAAAAAATTAGCCAGATGTGGAGGCAGGCGCCTGTAGTCCCAGCTACTTGGGAGGCTGAGGCAGGAGAATGGTGTGAACCCAGGGGACAGAGCTTGCAGTGAGCCAAGATAGTGCCACTGCACTCCAGCCTGGGTGACACAGCAAGACTCTGTCTCCAAAAAAAAAAGAAAAAAAAATTAAAATTCTGGGCCCAGTGCAGTAGCTCAGCCCTGCAATCCCAGCACTTTGGGAGGCTGAGCTCAGTAAGAGGATTGCTTGAGCCCAGGAGTTCGAGACCAGCCTAGGCAACATAGGGAGAAAAATACAAAAAATAAAAACATTAGCCAGGTCCGTTGTGGTGCACACTTGTGGTCCCAGCTACTCAGGAGGCTGAGGTGGGTGGATTGCTTGAGTCCAGGTGATTGAGGCTGCAGTGAGCCATGATTGTGGCACTCTGCATTCAGGCCTGGGCAACAGAGACAGAGTGTGTTTCAAAAAAAAAAAAAATTCTAAAAAAATTATTCTTATTTCCACCTCCATAGGAGGTAATCATAATTAAAAATAGTTTTACTTAGAGAACTGAATATCTATCCATCATCTATCCATGTAAACAACCAAACACAAAACTGAGGTTAAAATATGTAAACTTTTCAATAACTTTAATTTTATTAATATATTGTGACACTTTTCTATCACAATACTTCCCTACAGCATAATTCAATGCAATAATAGCTTTATATATTTTATGGTATGACTATCCCAGTGTTTCTGAACTTCCTATGTTTACATTAACTCCCCAAAATATCTTTAAACAATCTGTTAATAAAGTGCTGCAAATAGGATACCGTCTTGTTAGAATCCTAGTGCTTTAGAAGGAAACTAGAGGTGAGATATTTATAGCATTTAAAGTCTGGCCTCAAGTGGCTTAATAAAGTCTTTCTCAAAGGGGCATTGATTGAGAATTGGGCAAAGTTCATGATCTACTAGTTTAAAATTGGTGGAAACAGTAAAGTAAGTCTTTATAACTAAACTGTTAAGCAAGCTACTTGACCAGGTGACAGGGTCCTCTCTCTAATAACTTGGTCTGATGGAATTGCCTGAAGCAAACAGTAATTCATTGATTTGTGGTTTTATATTTCCTGAGCAGAATTTAAAAACAAAAAGACCCCAGTCATACCAACATAAGTGCTCTACAGTTTTATCTAATTTATATTAACACAGAAGTTATCAATTGTCAATTTTAAAAAATTTTTTACTATTTATTTTCCAAATATATTTTAAATATTCATTGATTTATATTTTTACTACCACCACCTAAAGTCTAGCTATCACTTTTCCTTACCTTGCCTTTTAAAGTCACTGCTGATAGGGAAAATTCATTTTCCACCAGATAGTGATAATGAACTCTATCATATAGACATGTCACACCCATTCTTAAATCCTTTCAGTGTTTGCACAGTTCTTCGCCTAATTTTAAGTGCCCCATGAGACACTCTTCTGCCCAATTCTATAGAATCATTTCCCTTACTACACTCTTACCACATCAGACCCACTTGGTTCCTTGAATTTGTCCTGTTTCATCTACTAGAATGCTTTTCCCTGTACTTTCTCTTTAATTTAGTTATTAATATTAACTATTTAACTATTATAAACAAAATAATAGGATCCTTTGGATCTCATTTTGCTCATACATTCTCAGAAAAACCTGTGCCTACTCCACCAAGACAAATAATACACATTCTCCGTATTCTTCCTTTATATTACTTAATTTTTTAATGAGTAATTGGTTTAATGCCTATTTGTCCCACTGAAAAATAAACCCTATAAAAGTGGAGACACTATTTTTTCCACATTATATTCTCAGAGCACCTGGTCTAACACACACACACACACACACACACACACACACCAACTTATAGAATAAATGTTGCAAAATTAATTACAACAGTCTTCATATTTAAGCTGTAGGGGTCCTTCATTTTGTTTTCTATTACTATGTTGTTTGACAACCCACCATAATTACCTCTACCTTCAAAAACACCTTTTCACTCTTAAGTTGATAGCACTTTTTCCTTGTTAAACAAACCAAGCAGTTGTGAAAAAGAGGTGTTGTTCACATACGAGTTACTAATTGAGGCTCTTTTTTTTTTTTAACCACTGATAAATGAAACAGAAAAACATTAAAAATGGGAGAGCTTTAAGGATAAAGATGCATCACCTT